>NC_000012.12:110490431-110641946 GCF_000001405.40 Homo sapiens | reverse complement strand
CTCTCTTAAGATTTTCGTTGTAAAACACTGACATATTTTGTGGCTTAATGGCAGGCTGAAAAAAAAAAGGAGATTAAAAAAAAAAAACACTGACATTTTCCCAGGACGTGCTGTCTCACCCCCAACTGCCAGTCTCCCCCCAGCCCACCTGCTGTGTAGCCAGACTGGCCGCCCACCAGAGCCGCCTGCAGGAAGCTCGGCCTGGACTGCTCTCTCCTTCCCACAAGCAGCCCAGGGGAGCCTCAGCGATAAAGAGCAGTGCAGCCCACGCACATGGAGAGAGAAATAAATCCACCCTCTACAGAACCAAAAAGGATATCCCTTATGAGGCTGGAATCCAGCAGCTAATGGGAGCCCCACGACATAACCAGGGTTTCCACTGAGAGGGACTGGCTGGGTATTTTCCTGAAAGACAATGCAGAAATGCCCCCAAATAATTCTCATTTTAATAAGGAAATGGCAGGAAGAAAAATTCTTCTTTCATAATAAAATATGGAATTACCAACCAATAAAAGAATTTCTCCCTCCCTACTCAGAACTATAAATACATCTGCCAGGTGTAGGAGTACATCATACTGTAAAAGAACAAGCTAATGTGGAAGGGAATCTTTTCCCAAAAGGAAAAAAGATACAAGGAGAATGCTTGGTTTCATTACAAATGCACAGGCTACACAAAGCCCTCTGTTCACTACAAAGGCTTGGATGTAATACTTAGAAATTCAGTTTTATCCACTGAGAAGTCATTATTTCTTTTTAACTTGGCAATTAAATACTTATGCCAAATTGATCAACCTTACCTGAAGAAAATGAATTTCAAACTTTTGCTGCAGTGGGACCACTACGCTGCTAACTGTCCCCAGAACGAATGAGAGATCAGCTTTGGTGACTTCACCTGCATCTGTGTATGTGAGGCTGTACTTTACCTAAAAACAAAATGATACTCCAAATATACCTGTTCCATTACATTTCAGAAGCTGTATGAATAACTGAAAACACCCATAGATAGCAAATCTTTCCCTGTTTCTCCATGTGTTGAAGCCTTGCTCTGCTGTCCAGTTGGATTATGAGAGGTGTTCCCTCAGCACCACCCCTAGCAGACAGGGTCATCTGAGCCACTCTGCCCAATTACAGAAGTTCCACATAAGCTGGTCCAAGCAGAATGCAATAAGCCTATCTCTGCAGAGGAAACATGTTAAAACAAAAACAGCAACAACAAAAATATTTTGATGTATTCCGGCAAGTCACTAAGTTTGTGGAGACAAGAGGTGTCCTTTGATGAGACAGCAGAAAGACAAGCAGGCAGCTGAGCCAAGAAAAGCCACACCATGGGCTGGGACAGAGCGTCCTCGGAGGGCGTCCAGTTACCCCGGCGCAACAAGAGGCTTAAGTCTGCCACAGACAAGCTCTCAAAGCCAAACTCGGCACCTACCTCAAGAACAACATTCACGCAAAGGCTAAAGTGTCCAGCGTTGACGAGAGTCGGCTGCAGCACATCAGTGTCCTCCCGTCGGGTGAGCGTTTTATTTAGAGACTGAATGACGATGGACTGAACAGTGATAGGGACCTGCAGAGTGAAGACCTGGAGTGTTGAAGATGCTCTACCCAGGGAGGATGGGCTAAAATAACCAACCAACTGGAAAGAAACCTCCCCTGATATATGGCCAAGTAGGGGGAAGCATGCTACACAACAGTGTATATACTATGATCCACATTTGCAAAAGTAATAAACATATATACATTCACAAAGAAAATACTTGAGAGGATATAACCAAAACTTTAAAAGTAGTTACCTCTGAAAACATAAAGTTTACACAAAAACTTGTACACAAATGTTCACAGCTGCACTATCAAAATAGCTAAAACCAAAAACCACCTAAATGTCCATCAACTGATGAATGGATAAATACAAAGTCTAGCCTTACAAAGGCATATGACTCATCCCTAAAAATAGTACTAATACATGCCACAGTACAGATGAATCTTAAAAACATGCTAAGTCATGGAAGCCAGACACAAAAGGCCACAGTTCTAATTCCATTTATACGGAATGTCCAAATAGGCAAACCCATAGAGACGAAAAGTAGATCGGTGGTTGCCAGGGGATGGGGGACAAAGCTGGGGAAGAATGAGGAGTGACTGCTAACACAAGGCTCCTTTTTGGGGTGATGGAAATGTTCCGGAATTAGTGGTGATGGTTGCACAACCTGTGACTATACTAAAAACCACAGAATTGTATACTTTAAAATGGTGAGTTTTATGGTATATGAATTATATCTCAAATACACACAAAACTCCATCACACTGTCAAGCACACATATATATCCTCACCTCCAAAACACAACTCCTACACACTCCATACCCACACATGCACATTCACATGCAGTCCCAGGATATATATCCTTAAGCCCCCACACACCCCCGAATATTCATTTGACCCAATTTATACACAACTTCTATACAAGCGCAAGCACGCTCACACACACATACACACACACACACACACACACAGTGGTTTCTCTGGGTGGTAGGATTATGAGCAACAAAAAACAGACACAGACAAACATTTTCAGCAGCACCAGGGAAGCCCTGCTTATCCCAGTGCTATTAAAGGACGTTTTGCATTCATGGCCACCACCAGCAGAGTAACAAGGCATCAAGCCATCCTCTAAAGGTAGCTGAGCCTCCTCGTACTATAGGATGAATCTGTCATTTGCTCTAAACTTCAATTCTTAGAAACCACTGTTGAGGAAGGAGCCTCATGTATCTATTAACAGTTGTTTATACCACTTTGAACTTGCACTCAATCATGCACCATGCTGTTTATAATTCAAAATGACCAAGTATTTAAGCAGTTATTTTAGAGATAAATAAGCAGTCCTTATGTGTCTGCTCCCATGACCAAGAAGACCTGCGAGTCAAAACCTCTCATAGAAGAAAGTGACATGACTCAGTAACAAAGACGTGAGCTGTCATGTGACGAGAATGGCAGAAGGGCAATGCTAGTCACTGTGAGGCCCTCTGCATAACATGCCGCACCAAGGGGTTTCAGCATGGAGGGGGTCCTAGGCTGTTATTCAATTAGCTCTTGTTTAACACAAGGGCAACCCCGGGTTCCTTACTCTGAGCATAGTGGCCCCTGATTCAGCAATGACACCGGGTTCCAAGAAAGAGCATAGCCTGCCATACCAGCCTCTGCTGGAGCCACTTCCATGGTGTGTGCGTGGAATTGGCAAAAACCGAAGGATTCAGTGTCAATGAGCTTTGGAGAGTCCTGGTGTCAATGGCAGGAGCTGCCCTCGTCTCGACAGCTCACTCAACTGTCCCGAGAAGGAAACAGTAGCGCTGTGCTGATTTCCTTGATTCCTCTTCTACCACATACCATTCCCAAACCACACACACACTGGTAAAGAACTCCAGCATACTCAATGAAACTACAGGGCTACCCTGGAATCTTTCACTGATGGCTCCACAGATACTGACAATGATTCCAGGCAATCATAACAGTCTTCACTTAGTGGGGAGATTAGACCCAATTTCTATACTCCTGATCCTCTAACCTTAAAATCTGCTTTTTAAGAAAATTTTAAACAAATTCCTACTATTAGTTTACATGCTTGTCCTTTAGAGCACAACCTTTGGTGTCACACAGACCTAAGTTGGAAGTCCCAGTCTGCCACGTCCTGTGTGGCCACAGGATGCAAAGAAGGAAGGTGTGTGAAGCCTGTCACATGGGCTCACAGAGTAGAGCTGGCCCAGTATGGTGGTAAAGTATAAGGTCCCTGGGGCCAGACCACCTAGATCCCTGTCCCAGCTCTGCCACTTCCCAGCTGTGCAGCCATGGGCAGCTCATTCATCTCCTGTGACTCATCTGCCAGAGAGTGACAGTAACTGAACCTACCTCCTAGGACAGCCAAGAGGATTCAAAGACGTCAGACACATACAGCACTTAGAACAGTCCTGGCACCTGCTCCAAGCCTTCCAGTAACATCCATCACATTCCTCATAATAGGTCTTCCCACCCTGAATGGACCCACCTCCTTCCTAGTCATTCATCACTAAATGCGTAACTCATTGAGTGCCCAGTACCTACTGGACGCTGCGTTAGAAATAAGGATATATCATGAACAAGGCTGATAGGGCTGCTGCCCCCACAGACGGTTCCAGTTTTGAGTGGTAAAATCCAAGCACTCTCTAGGGGTTGGAGGGAGGTGAGAGCTAGCCCATTGCATGACTTTCACACTGCATTCCTGGGAGCCCTAGGGTTCTTCACTGGGACCAAAGAGGAGAGAGAAGGAGACTGGGCAGGTGGAGGGCTTCAGGCCCCATCCCTGCTCCAACCAGCACAGCTCCACATTCAGTCTGTGTGTTACACTCTAGAGAGGGTTCCACTTCAGACTGCATTTAAGAAAGGGTCTCTATAACTAAAACAAGTTTGAAAACACAAGTAACATCCATCATTCCTCATAATAGGTCTTCCCACCCTTCACAGAAGACAGGATCCAGCCTCACACACCGTTGTGTGAGACCCAAAGTCACATGGCTATTTCCTTTCAAACATCTCCCTCAAACATGTTTGTGTGCAGAGCATCAGTGAAGTCAATCACAGCCAGTGCATCCCCATCCCGAGTGCATCCCATGCGCAGATGCCGCACCAGCACCTCATGTGCTTCTCCCACTTGGCCTTGTGTCATGCCTCTGCACGGACGCTTACCATCCACTCAACAAAGGGAGACCACGGTGTCAGTCCGACAAGAAAATAATGGCAAAGCTGAGGTTTGAACCTAGGCTGGCCAGTTCCACAGGGTGGGAAACTATGACAAAGCCACCAACTCAGGCCTCCATGGGGACTGTGTTCACAGGCAGACCTAGGGTGCAAACCCTAGAATAAGGGGTGAGGGATCCACATTCCTTCTGACATAGCCACGAAGAGACCCTGACATCCTGACCACAATCAAGTAGAACCCTGGGCTGGGGCGATAAGGCTTTGAAAAGAACCCACCCTCAAATAAAGCCCTGAAGGTATACCACGGGGCACGCCTCCCACGCGGTATGGACACCCACTGGCCAAAGTGCTTATGGCTTCTGCCCTGGACGGGCAGCATCCTGGGAGCTGGACAGCTTTCTTAACAAGAGACTAAGAAGGGAGCAAGGGATAGCCTGAATGTCCAGAAGTCAATCATACCCACTGCTGGTCACGACAGTGGTGTCACTGAACCATGGAAGAGTACAAAACCACAACAACAGAGGCAGCTGGGAAGCCCAGAAGTGTGACTCCCACTAAGGAGTTTCCCTATTGCACTTCTGCTTGCTTTTTGGCAAATGTATTTGCTATTAGCAACAAGGTCCCCTTCTAATTGTAACTGTATTCATTTAAAAGGGCTCAGAAATAAGACAGTATTATAAACTATCCTACTTTCTATTACAAAAATAAATAAATACTCTTACCTTTTTTCTTGAATCAGGTACCTAGATAAAAAGAAACCACAAAAAATTGTGTTAAGTACAACAAAAAGAAGTATTTTCATTGCTTTTTCAGATCTCGAGTTGAAGAGTATATTCATCTTATTAAAGGCTTCACAAAGAAGAAAACAGAATTTCCTTGATCAAGACTCCCCATCTGCATGTGTTTGAATCTATGTCCTAATCAAAGAGGTCACATTGCGTTTTCCTTCTATCTTCATTTCCTCCAGGTAGAAGCTCACCAAGCTAGTCTCAGGAAGGCTCCATGCTCCAGGGTCATTATTGTATATTTCCACATGGTCTCACGGCCATAAGCACTGTGGGAAGCACAGTTCTTGCACTCCTGGTCACTCTCACTGCACCTGTCCTTGCTGGAAGGCCACCATTGCTTGCCCAGGCGATTTCCACAGACTCCTAACTGGTCTTCCTGCCTCTGGCCCAAGCCTCCTCAATGACAAGCTCTTGCCTCCCCAGTAGAGCTGCAGCTTTCTTTCTGAAGGGCCCACTGAGAAACGTGGGGAGGGAGACAAATAGACCTGTTTGGAGAGACCTGTGCTGAAAGAGAACTGTACCTGGATGCCCAAGGAATTGCTTCAAGACAACTGTGAGCTCAAGCTAACTAGAAGAATTCACAAGCCTAGATGGCTGACTTACACAAGAGAGGGAGAGAGAAAATGAGGGGAGAGGGAAAGGTTAAATTTGATCCTAAAAACTGAGGTCCAGATAAATAATGGTGCCATGAACCACCCTACCCCTGTACCCCTCATAAAAAGGAAATTGGGAAGGGGACCCCTTTGACAATAATCGTATGTTTCTGGCGGGGCAGTTGTTTTGTTTTGTTAGAGACCAGGTCTCACTCTGTCACCCAGGCTGGAGTGCGATCATAGCTCACTGCAACCTTAGCTCACTGCAACCTCAGCTCACTGCAACCTCAGCCTCTTAGGATCAAGTGATCCTCCTGTCTTAGCCTCCTGAGTAGCTGGGACCACAGGTGTGCACAACCATGACACAAAAGGTTTTTTTTTATTATTTTTTGTAGGGACAGGGTCTCATTATGTTGCCCAGGCTGGTTCTTGAACTCTTAGCCTCAAGTGATCCTCCTGCCTCAGCCTATCATATGGTTTTTAATCATTGAAAAAGGTCTTCTTCCCTTGCCACCCTCCATCTCATCTGTCATGTGGGCCAGTGGCCTCATCATTTCTTCAGTTTAGGGTTCAGTCACTGTAACCAGAGAGAAGGGGCCCCTTCACCATTGTGCCCACTTCTCCCATTTCCTGTTCTTTCCTGACTGCCTGTGTCATCTGCCAACCAGAAAGTGGATTTCCTCTTCTTTTCTGGCCTGTTTCTGAGAGGGAGCCCTTTTTGGGGCTAATAAGATTATTTCTGTCACAGACATGAAGATGTTTTTATGATTTCTAAAGTTTTTAGTTATTCGTAAAGATTTGTTTTTATTCAGGAGACAGATATTGGTTACCATCAAAATGAATGAAAGAAAAAAATCAACAAAAGCAAAATATGAGCTAACTATAAAAAAATAAAAATTATTTAAAGGATTATTTCAATAATCACTGATATAAAAGTACTGGAGAAATTTAAACTCGAGTGTCAATCATGTACTGAAATTATTCTGTACTTGTCATATTTTAAAAGCGCAGAAAGAACAGAAACATACCTAATGAGTAAGTTCCACTTCAAAATAATTCTTACCCTCAGAATTTCCGGGCTGCTGTAAAAAGCCATGCTGAGGGCTTCAATTTCTTCACACTGTTCTAAATTTATTTTTCTGGTGCACTTAACAGCCTGGTTCACCAGAAACGCTAGAAATCATTAACATTCCCAAGGAAAAAAAAATACAAAAGAGAAGAAATTTTTCAATTTTCCAATGGCAACTAAAAAGTTTTAATCTAGGTAAAACTGTAAAATAAGTTACAACACAGATATACAATTTTGTTGTTGTTTGTTTTGTTTTTTTAGTAGAGACAAGGTTTCACCGTGTTGCCCAGACTGGTCTCAAACTCCTCACCTCAAGTGATCCTCTCGCCTCGGCCTCCCAGAGTGCTGGGATTACAGGTGTGAACCAGTACGCCTGGCCTACAATGTTTTAAATTATTTTTCAAAAAGAATACATTCATGAGATTCAAAATTCAAAAAGCACAAAAAGATAATGAGTAAATCCCCCTCCAATTCTTGTCCTGCCCCCCAGCTACCACCAGTCCCCTTCTCCAGAGGCAACTGGCATGAGGCTTCTTGTGTCTCTTTCTAGAAATATTCTATGGAAATAAAAACAAATATGTGTGTAAAAAACATACATATATTTTTATTATTATTTCTTTCCCCTTTTGGAAACAAATGTACAATATATACACTATTCTGCCCCTCATTTTGTTTACTGAACAATATATCTTGGAGATTGGCCTGTCTTTACATGAAGCAGCTCCTCCTTTCTTGGGGATAATTAGTATTATAGATGTGGCATAATTATTATACCAGTTCCCTATTAATGAACACTTAAGTTGTCTCCATCTTTGCTACCACCAACAATGCTGCAATCTATTATTTTGCATATTGGCCAGCATTTCTGTAGGATCAACTCCTGGAAGTAGAACAGCTGGGTTGAAGAGCACATTCATTTCTAATCTGGATACAAATTGCTAAATTGCCCTTCACCAAGGTTGTACCAATTTACAGTCTCACCAGCTATGTAGGTGGACTGCCTGTTTCCCCACAGCTTCAGTTTTTTTGAGTTTTGCCAATCTGACAGGGGAAAATGGTATCTCAGTTTGGTTTTTAGGTTTTGTTGTGGGGGAGGGGGAGTTGTTTTTGGTTTTGTTTTCTTTTTTTTTTTTCTTTGAGACAGGGTCTTGTTCTGTCACCCAGGATGGAGTGCAGTGGTGCAATTTCAGCTCACTGCAACCTCCACCTCCCTGGCTCAAGCAATCCTCCTACCTCAGCCTCCTGAGTAGCTGGAACTACAGATGTGCACCACTATGTCTGGCTAATTTTTGTATTTTTTATAAAGACAGGGTTTCACTATGTTGCCCAGGCTCAAACTCCTAATCTCAAGCAATCTGCCCACCTCAGCCTCCCAAAGTGCTGGGATTACAGGCATAGCCGCCACACCCAGCCTTTGGTTTGGTTTTAATTTACACTGTTCTTCGTGTGTGCAAGATTGTCTTTTCAGCAGAATACATTTGTCTTTTCAGCAGAATACAGAATACATTCCTATCGTCCATTACTTAGCTTCTTCATAGTGAGGCCCCTTGGGGATGGGAGAGCCAAGCCTGCTGCCTTCCACTGCCTAGGGGGCCATTCTGCAAACTCTTGGAGGCTCCTGAATGGAGAGGAGCATAGGGGAGCACAGGCTGCAGGCCAACTGCATGGGGTCCATTCCTGTTCCACCACCACCTGAGTGAGCCTGAACAAGAAACTGTACATCTCTGTTTCCTGCTCTAAAAAATGGAGATACTAACCTGGCCTCAAGGGATTACAGAGAGTATTTAAGGGAAAACACATACAAGCACTTAACACAATACCCAGCACACAATATGTGCTTAATAATGGTTAGCTGTTGATATGCTTTAGAACTTTCCAACAACTGGAAGTGTTAAACAATTGAGTGAGCTGTTTTCAGGTAGTCAGTTCCCCATCACTACAAGTGCTCAAGCAGTGACTGCATGTGGTAGAAAAGACTGGCCCTGGGTGAGAAATTGAACTACGTGACCTTTGAGGCCTCTTTTAACCCGAAGATTCTGTTTTTAGTTACGAGGCCTGTTTAATGATGACTACTACAAATGTAAAGTATTAAGTTGGTGCAAAAATAATTGCGATTTTGGTCATTACTTTTAATGGCAAAAACCGCAACTACTTTTCCACCAACCTAATAATAACAGCAAATGTCTAAGGAAAGAAGAATGACCACTTTCTTACCTGCAGGGTTATTATCAGTGCACAGAGATGATGTCAGGGACGAAGGAAATCTCAGAAACGAATCTGAAGTCTGCAGAGGAACCCCATACTGCAAACACAACAACCAACAGTCGTTATGGTGTAATTAAAGTATTCATTCAACACTTACTGGGCACCCACAATGTGCCAAGCAGCACTGCAGGCATCAGAGACACACTGATGAGCAAAAAACAGATGTGGTCCTTGCCCTCAAGAAGCTCACATCTAGTTGTGTCGCCATTTTTAAAAGGATGTGTTTCTGTATGTGCATGTTACTGTATTTGCAGGCTTCTTAGTCATGGAATTCCTCTGGAAGGGTACATGAGACAATGACATAACGATCTGCCTCTGCAGACAGGAACTAGGTGGCTGGACACAGGGTTGAGAGAATTATTTTTCGCTAGCATTAATTATTTAAATAACATATACAGTATACATTAAAATCATAAAAATCAATTTTTTATAAATCAGTTTTATGAAAGAATGCCTTCTTTCCCAAAACCAAACCCCACAAAATTATTTTCCAATCTTCAAAACCCAGATTAATAGCTATTAGGCTTATAGCCAATTTTCTCGAACTTGAAAGTTTATCCAAATGCTTTAGTGCCAGCAGGAGTATGGGAAACAACTCCTTCCACTCACTGGAGCTGGGAGTGTAAAGCACTGCAATTTTTCTGGAGGGCAATCTGGTATCAATATTTAAATTTTCCATTCATTTTTACCAAACTAACTCATTTATAGGAATGTATCCTAAGGATTTAATCAGTGAAGTGTACAAAAATGTATGTATATATGAGAATGTTCATTGTGGATAACAGCAAAAACTGGAAACATGTCTGTTAAGAGTGGAACAGCTCAGATACATACACAGAAAATAATATTTTGGCTTTGTTTGTTTGTTTGTTTTTGAGATGGAGTCTTGCTCTATTGCCCAGGCTGGAGTGCAGTGGCATGATCTCAGCTCACTGCAACCTCCGCTTCCTGGGTTCAAGCGATCCTCATGCCTCAGCCTTCCAAGTAGCTGGAACTACAGGCACGCACCACCACGCCCAGCTAATTTTTGTATTTTTAGTAGACATGGGGTTTCACTATATTGTCCAGGCTGGTGTGGAACTCCTGACCTCAAGTGATTTGCCCGCCTCGGCCTCCCAAAGTGCTGGGATTATAGGCGTGAGCCACCATGCCCAGCCAAGAATATTTTGTAAACTACAGCTCTAGGGCTGGGTGCAGTGGCTCACATCGTAATCCCAGCACTTTGGGAGGCCGAGGCGAGCGGATTACCTGAGGTCAGGAGTTCAAGACCAGCCTGGCCAACATGGTGAAACCCCGTCTCTACAAAAATACAAAAATTAGCTGAAGACCAGCCTGGCCAACATGGTGAAACCCCATCTCTACAAAAATACAAAAATTAGCTGATCATGATGGCAGGTGCCTGCAATCCCAGCTACTTGGGAGGCTGAGGTGGGAGAATTGCTTGAACCTGAGAGGCGGAGGTTGCAGTGAGCCAAGATCACACCACTGCACTCCAGCCTGGGCGACACAGCAAGACTCCATCTCAAAAACAACAACAACAACAACAACAACGCAGCTCTATCACTAGTTCTGACAAGTTGCTTTCCTGTGCCTAAGTTTTTCTCATCAGGTAAATGGAGACAATGGTGCATCCCTCCCAGGGGGGTGCATGAAGTAATGCCTGAAAAGCTCTTCACAGTGCCTGGCACATGGAAAATGCTCAATGGTAAATTTTATATTGACATGGGAAGATGCACATGATTTATCACTGAAAAAGGAATTTTCTAGAACAATGTGGATACCTATAAATCCCACTTCTATACAACACCATATATACATTATAATAGACATATTTAAAAATCAGGAAGAATACACACCAATCTCTTCAAAGTGATTTGCAGTATGAATATTAATGGATACAGGGATCTTTCAACTTATATGCCTCTATATGTTGAACTTTTAGAACTAGTACATGTTGCTTTTATACTTTGCTTTTAAAAAGATGCTTCCAAAAGAGTTAAGGTTCATTCAGTTAATATGTGTCCCATTTAAAGGTGTACTACTGAATAGACATAAAACAGCACACATCTTCCAAAATCTGTAAAACTAAATACAATTTTGAGAAGATGACCAGACAACCAACCAATCTACTCCATGATCTCAGCAACATGCCTCAAGCATTTTGCTGCATCTTTTAAGGTTGAGGAGAACAAAGAACTCTGAAGAGACAAAATACAAGTTTATCACAGAATAAACAACCTTAAATCCTCTATTCAGAATTCAAATATTCAGTTTTATTTTTATTATTATATTTTAAGTTCTGGGATAACGGGTGCAGAACATGCAGGTTTGTTACGTAGGTATACACGTGCCATGGTGGTTTACTGCACTCATCAACCCATCATCTACATTAGGTGTTTCTCCTAATGCTATCCCCTCCCCTAGCCCACCACCCTCTGACAGGCCCCTGTGTGTGATGTTCCCCTCCCTGTGTCCATGTGTTCTCATTGTTCAACTCCCACTTATGAGTGAGAACATGCGATGTTTGGTTTTCTGTTCCATGTTAGTTTGCTGAGAATGATGGTTTCCTACAAAGGACATGAACTCATCCTTTTTTATGGCTGCTTAGCATTCCATGTTGTGTATGTGCCACATTTTCTTCACCCAGTCTATCACTGATGGACATTTGGGTTGGTTCCAAGTCTTTGCTATTGTGAATAGTGCTGCAATAAACATACGTGTGCGTGTGTCTTTATAGAATGATTTATAATCCTTTGGGTATATACTCAGTAATGGAATTGCTGGGTCAAATGGTATTTTAGGTTCTAGATCCTTGAGGAATCGCCGCACTGTCTTCCACAATGGTTGAAATAATTTACACTCCCACCCAACAGTGTAAAAGCGTTCCTATTTCTCCATATCCTCTCCAGCACCTGTTGTTTCCTGACTTCTTAATAATCGTCATTCTAACTGGCGTGAGATGGTATCTGATTGCAGTTTTGATTTGCATTTCTCTAATGACCAGTGATGATGAGCCTTTTTTCATAGGTTCGTTGGCCACTTAAATGTCTTCTTTTGAAAAGTGTCTATTCATATCCTTCACCCACTTTTTGATGGGGTTGTTTTTTTCTTGTAAATTTATTTAAGTTCCTTGTAGATTCTGGATATTAGCCCTTTGTCATATGGATAGATTGCAAAAATTTTTTCCCATTCTGTAGGTCACACGTTCACTCTGATGATAGTTTCTTTTGCTGTGCAGAAGCTCTTTAGTTTAATTAGATCCCATTTGTCAATTTTGGCTTTTGTTGCCATTGCTTTTGGTTGTTTTACTCATGATGTCTTTGCCCATGTCTATGTCCTGAATGGTATTGCCTGGGTTTTCTTCTAGGGTTTGTATGGTTTTAGGTCTTACATTTAAGTCTTTAATCCATCTTCAAATATTCAGTTTTAATTTTCATGATCTTTGATTTGTAGGCATGAACATTAAGTTTTTTAGTCTATAATATCAACTCTGTCTCAAGGAACCCAGTTTTCCTGGTAACCTTGAAAATTAACTTACAAGGAAAGATATTTGTGATGGGATGAAAAGAATCAATCAAGTTCAGGCTCACCTCATATTTAGCAGCAGTAGGAATATCCAGTTTGGTTGTGAAGGAAACATATGATTCAGCATTCAATGTAAAACCATCAGATGTTTTCATCAATGTATCAAAATTGTTTTCATCAGGTACTTCTGGATTAATAAAGGATAATGCAGGTTTATCTGTTTTTTAAAAAAAACAGTATTTTAAATCGGTATAAAATATATGTATAATATGTATGACCTATATAAAGGTTTTGGAAAGTTTTTAATAGCATCAAGGCTGATGTAAAAAACAAATAGTGTCTTGGCTGGGCGCATGGGCTCACGCCTGTAATCTCAACACTTTGGGAGGCCAAGGCGGGCGGACTGCCTGAGGTCAGGAGTTTGAGACCAGCCTGGCCAACACGGTGAAATCCTGTCTCTACTAAAAATACAAAAATTAGCCAGTCATGGTGGTGTGCACCTGTAATCCCAGCTACTCGGGAGGCTGAGGCAGGAGAATCGCTGAAACCCAGCAGGCAGAGGTTGCAGTGAGCTGAGATAGCGCCACTGCACTCCAGCCTGGGTGACACAGTGAGACTTCATCTCAAAAAAAAAAAAAAAAAGTGTATTTTTCCATATTCACTTCTCCCAGGATTTTTTAAAGCTTATTAAACAAACAGGACCTCCAGACTCAGCCTGCTTCTTCTAATAATGGGGAAGTAATAGTTTGTAGCACTTACAAGTAAACAGCACAACAGAAGCCAATAATAATCCGTCTATTTCTCTAGCCCCTGGACTGATGAGTTTGCTGTATCAACCTGTAAGGAGAAGCTCTCTCCGGATGGCTATGGGAATGAAAGAATCCGACTTCTACTCTCACACAGCCACCGTGAAAGTCCTGGAGTAAAATGTGCTGTGTACAGAAGAGAGAGAAGGAAGCAGGCTGGCATGTTCACTGGGCTGGTGTTACGACAGAGAACCTGACAGTCACTGGCCAGTTATCACTTCAGATTACAAATCACACAGAGCATCTGCCTGTTTTCAATCACAAGAGAACAAAACCAAAATCTATAAAGATATTCTGAAAATATGACAGAATTTGACAAATAAAAGCATAAACGTGTCTCTGATCTTTGATATCCTGATAACATTTTACATGTACATGTACTTTGGATCTAGACATATATTTGAGCTAAATGCTCAGATAAAAATAAAGATCCTGTTTTCATGCAAATATTCTTAGTAAAAATAAAAGAAAAAAGGAAATAGAAACCACAGGTAATGTTCAAAGCTGAGCCTGATTTTCAACCATTAAACCAGGAGGAAATAAAGTTAAAAAAACACATGTATATATAGAAACCTAGATTCCTATGTATGTCTGCATATTATAAACACTTTTAAGATAAGTATACGGTTTCGAAAGACAACTACACAATCATAATTACTTTTAAAGAAAATGTGCATGCCCACAGGTCTATAAAGTTACTTCCTATTACCTGTGAAATGGTCTCTAAAGATATACACTATACATATAGCAAAACAGAATAATTGCTTTAAATCTAACTGAGGGCTGGACAAGGCAGCTCACACCTGTAATCTCGGCATTTTGAGAGGCCGAGGCAGGAGGATCATTTAAGGTCAGGAGTTTGAGACCAGCCTCGCCAACATGGTGAAACCCTGTCTCTACTAAAAATAAAAAATTAGCTGGGTGTGGTGGCAGGTACCTGTAATCTCAGCTACTCGGGAGGCTGAGGCAGGAGAATCACTTGAACCCGGGAGGCAGAGGTTGCAGTGAGCTGAGAACGTGCCACTGCTTTCCAACCTGGGCAACAGAGTGAGACTCTGCCTCAAAAAAAAAAAAAAAAAGAAAGAAAGAAAAAATAGTAATAATAGGGCTGGGCACAGTGGCTCACACCTGTAATCCCAGCACGTTGGGAGGCCAAGGCAGGTGGATCACCTGAGGTCGGGAGTTCAAGACCAGCCTGACCAACATGGAGAAACCCCGTCTCTACTAAAAATACAAAACTGGCCAGGCATGGTGGCCCATGCCTGTAATCCCAGCTACTTGGGAGGCTGAGGCAGGAGACTCACTTGAACCCAAGAGGCAGAGGATTTGTGATGAGCCGAGATTGAGCCGTTGCACTCCAGCCTGGGCAACAAGAGCGAAACTCCGTCTCAAAAAAAAAAAAAAAAAAAAAAAACCACGCACACACAAAAATTATCCAGGCATGGTGGCAGGCACCTGTAATCCCAGCTACTCAGTAGGCTGAGGCAGGAGAATCACTTGAATCTGGGAGGTGGAGGTTTCAGTGAGCCGAGATTGCGCCACTGCACGCCAGCCTGGGTGACAGAGCAAGACTCTGTCTCAAAAAAACCATAATCATAATTATAAAATAAATCTGACACATTTTTCCATAACTTTGAGAAAAATTTTCCAGAGCTTCACAAAATATATCAATGTCAAATACTTACAGTTTGTAATATGAATGCAGAAAATAGATGGATTAATCTGGTCAACAAGTTCAAATACTCTTTGAGGTGGGTTTGCTGTAAAATTCAATGAATAGATGACTGCTTTTTGACTACAAAACTGGCTGTCGCCCCTGAAAATTAAAAAAATAATAATACAAAGTTACAAGACATAAGCACACAATCTTAGCAAAATTATTTTAAAACTGTCAGATGCTTGTACTGTACTATGTTAACAGTTACGTGGAGGATATTTATGAAAGCATGACGTCCCAGCTACTTGGGAGGCTGAGGCGGGAGAATGGCATGAACCCAGGAGGCAGAGCTGGCAGTGAGCCAAGATCGCGCCACTGCACTCTAGCCTGGGCAACAGAGCAAGACTCTGTCTCACAAAAAAAAAAAGAAAGAAAGAAAGAAAAAAGAAAGCATATTAGAATTGAATCCGGCTGGGCACGGTGGCTCACACCTGTAATCCCAGCACTTTGGGAGGCCGAGGTAGGCGGATCACAAGGTCAGGAGATGGGGACCAGCCTGGCCAAGATGGTAAAACCCCATCTCCACTAAAAATACAAAAATTAGCTGGGCGTGGTGGTGGGTGCCTGTAATCCCAGCTACTAGGGAGGCTGAGGCACGAACATCGCTTGAACCCAAGAGGCAGAGGTTGCAGTGACCCGAGATCGCGCCACTGCACTCAAGCCTGGTGACAGAGTGAGACTCCATCTCAAAAAAAAAAAAAAAATTGAATCCTTTTTTTTGAGATGTAGCCTCACTCTCCCAGGCTGGAGTGCAGTGGCACGATCTCGGGTCACTGCAACCTCTGCCTCTTGGGTTCAGGTGATTCTCCTGCCTCAGCCTCCCGAGTAGCTGGGACTACAGGTGTGCACTGCCATGCCTGGCTAATTTTTGTATTTTTATTAGAGACAGGGTTTCACCATGTTGGCCAGGCTGGTCTCAAACTCCTTACCTCAGATGATCCACCTGCCTCAGCCTCCCAAAGTGCTGGGCATGAGTCACCACAGCTGGCTGAATCCATTTTTATTTAGTTTATTCTGTGTTGAAATATTTTGCATTTGGGCCAGTCACAGTAGCATGCACCTGTATTACCAACTACTCAGGAGGTTAAGATGCAAGGCTCACTTGAGGTTAGGAGTTCGAGGCCAGTCTGGCAACATAGTGAGATCCTCATCTCTTTTTAAAAAAGAAAAAGCTTGGCATTTAAAACTTTTTCCTCTAACAGAAAAAAACAAAATTGAGACAAGTAGAATAACCTTTAAGGAAATCTTGTCAAGAACGTAGATCAGGGTATAATTTTTATGTCAGTGAACTTTACAAACTCTGATAGCATCAATTAGATAAAATTTTGCAGACCTTCAGATTGTTTAAAAGTACCCAGAATAGATCCAAATTCCTTGTCTTTAGAATAAAGCTGTCTTCAAAGGACTGTGAGAGTAAGAAAATGTGGAGTCATCTGGAAGGTTTAATGCTTAGAAGTTATGGTACAGGGCCAGGCACAGTGGCTCATGCCTCTAATCCCAGCACTTTGGGAGGCCGAGGCGGGTGGATCACCTGAGATCAGTCGTCTGGAAGGTTTAGTGCTTACAAGTTATGGTACAGGACCAGGCACAGTGGATCATGCCTGTAATCCCAGCACTTTGGGAGGCCGAGGTGAGCGGATCACCTCAGGTCAGGCATTCAAGACCAGCCTGGCCAACATGGCGAAACCCTGTCTCTACTAAAAATACAAAAATAAATTAGCCAGGCGTGGTGGCATGTGCCTGTAGTTCCAGCTGCTGGGGAGACTGAGGCAGGAGTATTGCTTGAACCTGGGAGGTTGCAGTGAGCCAAGATCGTGCCACTGCACTCCAGCCTGGGCGACAGAGTGAGACTCTCTCTCCCAAAAAAAAAAAAAAAAGAAGTTATGAGTTAAGTCTTCAACCAATCCCAGATTTGACAAATCCCAATCAATTTGCTATAGATACAGATACAGGCCAAGCACCATGGCTCATGCCTGTAATCCCAGCATTTTGGGAGGCTGAGGAGGATCACTTGAGGCCAGGAGTTCAAGACCAGCCTGGGCAACACAGACCCCTATCTCTACAAAAAACAAAGAAAAAAT
The DNA here is from genome assembly GCF_000001405.40 of Homo sapiens. Lineage (NCBI taxonomy): Eukaryota > Metazoa > Chordata > Mammalia > Primates > Hominidae > Homo > Homo sapiens. The sequence goes on along the minus strand of NC_000012.12, from coordinate 110,624,379 downwards.
TAGTCCGGCATGCTGGCAGATGCCTGTAGTACTAACTACTTGGGAGGCTGAGGTAGGAGGACTGCTTGAGCCCAGGAGCAAGGTTACAGTGAGCTATGATCGTGTCACTGCACTCCAGCCTGGGTGACAGAGCAAGACCTATCTCAAAAAAACATAGAGGCTGGGCACAGTGGCTCACGCCTACAATGCCAGTACTTTGGGAGGCCATGGCAGGAGGATCACTTGAAGCCAGGATTTCAAGACCAGCCTGGGCCACAAAGTGAGATTTTGTCTCTAAAAAAAAAAAAAAATAGACAGATAGCTGGACAGACAGATAATAGTATAGAGATAGTCATAATAAAAATGGGACCATATTCTACATACTGTTTTAAGGCTTTTCTCACTTAATATATAATGCCTAATATGCACTTACAATATTATAAGTGGCTTCATCATCGTATACCAGCCTATTAATACCCCAATTTGTTTAACCAATATAGATATGGATATGGTACAGCCCAAGCACCGTGGCTCATGCCTGTAATCCCAGCATTTTGGGAGGCTGGGGAGGATCACTTGAGGCCAGGAGTTCAAGACCAGCCTGGGCAACACAGACCCCGATCTCTACAGAAAACAAAGAAAAAATTAGCCCGGCATGCTGGCAGATGCTTATAGTTCTAACTACTTGGGAGGCTGAGGTAGGAGGACTGCTTGAGCCCAGGAGCAAGGTTACAGCGAGCTATGATCGTTGGTTTAGGTTTAGGTTTCTAATTTTCCCCAATTATATGTAATGCTATAATGACAACCTTATACATACATCTTTATGACTGTCTCCAGTTGTTTCCTTAGGATATGTTTCCTGAACTGGAACTGCTAAACCAAAAGGCAGGTAACATTATTTAAAGCTTCTGAGACACACTCCCAGATTGCCCTCTAGAAGGGCACAATATACATTCTCACCAACACTGTAGTAAGAGTGCCTATTTCCCTGTACCCTTGCCAAGACTGGATATTATCATTCCGTTTTTACTGGGCCTTAAAGGATAAGTAGAAATCAGACAGACAGTAGGAATGGGAAGCAAATCCAAGTGCAAGAACGGCAATGGCCAAGGCTGGGTAACGACTCATGGTCTTTGGGAAACTCTGAGTACCAAGGTTGGGCTGGAGTGGATTTGAGATGGCTGGTAGCAGGTGATAGGCTCTGAAAGAAGGTGGGAATGAATCTGAATCCAGGCTAAGAAGCCTATAGATAATGAGAACTTCTGAAGGTCTTTTAGTGAGTGCTTGACAGGATGAGGTGTGAGCTCATAAAGCAGGAGCAGGGATGGACGACCACGAGGGCTAGAGTGATGGAAGGCTCCACAGAATGGGATTCCTTACTCCCCTCCAGTCAGCCACCTCCCCAATCCTGTGCAGTATTTCAGTATCATCATCAGATCTAGATACTTCTCCCTAGCCCCACTGTCACAGCTTTTGGGGAGGATGGGGAGGGAAACCGTTAATCCGCATCTGCAATAGCTTTTTACTTGGTTCTCTGCCACCAGGCTTGGCCTTGTGATCCACTGCATATGATGCTGCAGAATTACATAAGATGGGAATCTGATCCTCTTACAACCCAGGCCCTGTGGACTTCAGGACAGAGTCCAAACCCCTTAGCATATACACAAGGCCCCTGGGGACCTGACCCCTGATCTCTTTCCTACACTCCTCTCACCCCACCCCTCTTCTGGCCACACTGAGTTACCTGCAGTTAAGCAGGCCATCCCACATCCCCCCATCTCTGTCCACGCAGTTCCCTCTGCCTGGAATGCCCTTCCCCTCAGTCCATGCTGACCATCTTCCACGTGTCCTTCAGGACCCAGCTCAGCTCCTGTTTTCTGGGGAGCATTCCTTAGTGGGGCTGAGTTAGATGCCATTCCTCTGCCTTCTCATCGTGCTTGATGTAGAAACTGCCATCCACTCCTCTGTCTCCCTTACTCGACGGTAAGCTCTTTGAAGGCAGGAGAGTGCCTAACTCATCTTTATGTCCCTGGTGCTGGCATTCAGGAGGTACTCAAGAAAGGTTGGGAGAAAGGAAAGACTGCTGAGACAGGAAAAGGAAAGGAAGAGGCAAGGGTCAGGGGAGCCTCCAGGTTTTTGGCCTGGTGTCGGCCTAAAAGACTAATGGTAGAGGAAGTCAACAAGGGACACTAGGAAATCAGTTAGAGGTGGAAGGGAGAAATTCATTCATCCATTCAACTCATTATTATTATTATTATTTTTTTTTATGGAGTTTCGCTCTTGTTGCCCGGGCTAGAGTGCAATGGTGCGATCTTGGCTCCTGCAACCTCTGCCTCCCAGGTTCAAGCGATTCTCCCACCTCAGCCCCCTGAGTAGCTGGGATTACAGGCACCCACCACCACGCCCAGCTGATTTTTGTATTTTTAGTAGACACGGGGTTTCACTATCTTGGCCAGGCTGGTCTCAAACTCCTGACCTCAAGTGATCTACATGCCTCAGCCTCCCAAAGTGCTGGGATTACAGGCGTGAGACACCATGCCCAGCCAATTCAACTCATTCTTAACGAGGGCCCACTATGTGGCAGGAGCTCTACTAGGTACTAATGGTTAAGGAGAAAAGAGATCTTCCAGGTTAGGCGCAGTGGCTCACGCCTGTAATCCCAGCACTTTGGGAGGCCGAGGTGGGCGGATCACGAGGTCAGAAGTTCAAGACCAGCCTGGCTAACACGGTGAAACCCTGTCTCTACTAAAAATACAAAAAATTAGCTGGGCATGGTGGCACACGCCTGTAGTCCCAGCTCGTTGGGAGGCTGAGGCAGGAAAATTGCTTGAAGCCAGCAGGCAGAGGTTGCAGTGAGCCGAGATGGAGGCACTGCACTCCAGCCTGGGCAACAGAGCAAGACTCTGTCTCAAAAAAAAAAAAAATAGCCCCAAGTTGGAGCAAAAATGTCACTTTCAGGCTCCTGTATTTACTAAAGGGAGGAAAACAGAATGACTTTCAACAAATACTGAAACATGCTACAGGCCAGGTAGCCAGAAAATTAATCTGACTACATTGCCCTGTTCTCTGAGCATTTTTACAATACTAGAAATAGGCTCAAAATCCCATTGGTCAATAAAATAGTTTCTCACAGGAAAAACCCATTGTACTTCTTAAAAGGGTTCACCTATCAAGTATCAATTGCTAAAACTTGCTATAAGGCTAAATTTAAATTAGCTATCTCTGAATACTAAGTTGGTCCCATCCTGAATTAATGAGCCTCTTCTAAGTGCTCCTAGTTTTTCAAAAAGCCTTGAAGCTGGGCGCGTTGGCTTACACCTGAAATCCCGGCACTTTGGGAGGCCAAGGAGGGCGGATCACCTGAGGTCAGGAGTTCGAGAGCAGCCTGACCAATATGGTGAAACCCCACCTCTACTAAAAATACGCCAGGCATCGTGGCGTGCACCTGTAGTCCCAGCTACTCAGGAGGCTGAGACAGGAGAATTGCTTGAAGCCAGGAGGCGGTGGTTGCAGTGAGCCACTATCACACCACTGCACTCCAGCCTGGGCAACAGAGCGAGACTCCATCTCATAAAAAAAAAAAAAAAAAAGAAGCCTTGAAACCTCAATTATAAGAGATCATTCAGAACAGATTATTTATTTACCTTATAATCAGCTGGAAATGTCATTTTTCATTGTTCTATACAATGCGAACTGTGAGAATTCCTGGTAGATTTACATATCAGAAAAGTACAGATTTCTTATCTAATTTTTTGTTACAAATACTATGTCCACAACAAAAGCTGTGAAATTAAAATGCACTTTTCACCCTAGGCTATACTAATTCACTGATACAAAAAATGTGACCACTGTCTACAACTCAAATTGAAATGTAATTCAATCTTCAAACACAGAGGTTTCATTACATTATTTTAATGTATATTCTCTCTTCTCTTTTGCCTGCACAGTCACCTGGCTGAATGCAAATAAGGGATAGCTACTTTTTTTTTTTTTGAGACTGAGTCTCGCTCTGTCACCCAGGCTAGAGTGCAGTAGCGCAATCTCCACTCACTGCAAGCTCTGCCTCCCGGGTTCACGCCATTCTCCTGCCTCAGCCTCCCGAGTAGCTGGGACCACAGGTGCCCGCCAACATGCCCGGCTAATTTTTTTGGATTTTTAGTAGAGACGGGGTTTCACCGTGTTAGCCAGAATGGTCCCAATCTCCTGACCTCGTGATCCACCCACCTCAGCCTCCCAAAGTGCTGGGATTACAGGCGTGAGCCACTGCGCCCTGCCAGGGATAGCTACTTTTTTACATATTTGTTTGGACGGTATGGCTTCAGAACGACGTAAAACACTGGAAATCAGGTTTGGGTTTTTAAGCCTGGGAAAGTTTTCCCTTTCTCCAAATTGTATTATCCTGGTCAAATTTTTTCAAAATTGCATGTGTCATACGTAAACTTACGTGACAACTGGAACTGAGCAGGCAGAAAAGACACTGAAATCCACGGAGCTGCAGTCGGGATCACAGCAGCAGTTGATGTCACACTGTGCTGGGGATAAGTCACAGACACAGAGAACAGCAACTGCAGAAAAAAGAGGGGTAGGATCCAGAACATCACCATCAGCAGGTGGTGACTGCCCCCTGCCACCACAGTGTACCATAAGTCAATTTCATAAAAAAGATCCATTTTATTTTTCCTATTGCACTTTGGGGGAAATTTGTGAAGTGGAAATGAGTCAGTTTGAGCATCCCACAATCAGAGGTTTCCCCAAAGTGGCTAATGATCTGACTCGCTTGGAAAGTTCTGTTAGTGCTTTGCCTACAGAGATGCTGATTTCGTAAGCTGAATATGAAACCCAGGCATTTGCAGTTTTCAGAAACTTTCCAGGTGATGCTTATAATTAGACAAGTTTAAGAACAAGCACCCCTAAACCATTTGCCTGACCATAAGAACCACCAGTTTAAAACTCCAAAGTCCTTAAGCCCCTCCTCTAGAGATTACGATTCAGAGGAAGGGCCCACTTAAACCTTCAGGAAAGAGACTTTTCAATCTTGCCCCCTCTTCACGTATAACCTGCTGCTTTAAAGCTGAACTCATATTCACAGACCCTTGGCCAAGAATCATACCGGCTCAGGTGCTCAGAATGTCTTTGGTGATTTAGACAATAAGGTATGAGGGCGGGGTAGGAATCTCCCCCACCTCACAACTTTTAATTATTTTATTTATTTATTTATTTTTTAAAGGAGTTTCGGCTCTTGTTGCCCAGGCTGGAGTGCAATGGTGCAATCTTGGCTCACTGCAACCTCCACCTCCTGGGTTCAAGCTATTCTCCTGCCTCAGCCTCCTGAGTAGCTGGGATTAAAGGCATGCACTACCACGCCCAACTTTTTTTTTTTTTTTGTATTTTTATTAGGGACGGGGTTTCACCATGTTGGCCAGGCTGGTCTCAAACTCCTGACCTCAAGTGATCTGCCAGCCTTAGCCACCCAAAGTGCTGGGATTACAGGTGTGAGCCACCACTCCTGGTCAACTTTTAATCATTAATAAGGATGATTTTTCTTTGCCGCTTTGCAACAAAGATGATTATCTGGATTTTTAATTCTCTATCTTATTCTGTCAAATAAGGACAAGAAAACCCTTTTAAAAAATAGAGAATGAATTTATAGTTGCAATTATTGCTGGAAGGGAAGAAGTAAGATCAACCTTCAATCTTATCTGTAACGTTTTCTTTTTCAAAAGAAGATTTCAAACCAGGCACGGTGGCTCACATCTGTAATTCCTGCACTTTGGGAGGCGGGCAGATCACTTGAGGTCAGGAGTTTGAGACTGCCCTGGCCAACATGGTTAAACCCTGTCTCTATTAAAAATACAAAAATTAGGCTGGGCGCGGTGGTTCATGCCTGTAATCCCAGCACTTTGGGAGGCCAAGGCAGGCGGATCACAAGGTCAGGAGATTGAGACCATCCTGGCTAACACGGTGAAACCCCGTCTCTACTAACAATATAAAAACTAGCTGGGTGTGGTGGCGGGCACCTGTAGTCCCAGCTACTGGGGAGGCTGAGGCGGGAGAATGGCGTGAACCCAGGAGGCGGGGTTTGCAGTGAGCCGAGATCGCGTCACTGCATTCCAGCCTGGGCGACAGAGCGAGACTCCATCTCAAAAAAAAAATTCAAAAATTAGCCAGGTATGGTGGTGGGCGCCTGTAATCCCAGCTACTCAGGGAGGCTGAGGCAGGAGAATCGTTTCAACCCAGAAGGCAGAGGTTGCAGTAAACTGAGATCACACCACTGCACTCCAGCCTGGATGACAGAGTGAGACTCCATCTCAAAAAAAAAAAAAAAAAGATCTCAAGCCAAAAAACAAAATTAACAAAAAAGGAATCTGAAGCAAATGCTGCTAGTGTCCACCCAACATTCTTATTTGTACGTATGAATTATTTCACGATAAAAAGGAGCTTTAGAAAAATGTACCCCACAGCGGCCGGATGCAGTGGCTCAAGCCTGTAATCCCAGCACTTTGGGAGGCTGAGGCAGGTGGATCACGAGGTCAGGAGGTCCAGACCAGCCTGGCCGACATGGTAAAACCCCGTCTCTACTGAAAATACAAAAATTAGTCGGGCATGGTGGCACACACCCGTAGTCCCAGCTACTCAGGAGGCTGAGGCAGAAGAATAGCCTGAACCCAGGAGGCAGAGTTTGCAGTGAGCCGATATCGTGCCACTGCACTCCAGCCTGGGTGACAGGGCAAGATTCCATCTCAAAAAAAAAAAAAGAAAGAAAAAGAGAAAAGAAAAATGTATCCCATAGCTCACGCCTGTATCCTAGCACTCTGGAAGGCTGAGAAGAGTGGATCCCCTGAGGTTAGGAGTTTGAGACCAGCCTGGCCAACGTGGTAAAACCCCATCTCTACTAAAAATACCAAAAAAATTAGCCAGGCATGGTGGCGCGCGGCTGTAATCCCAGCTACTTGGGAGGCTGAGGCAGGAGAATCGCTTGAACCTGGGAGGTGGAGGTTGCAGTGAGCTGAGACTGCGCCACTGCATTCCAGCCTGGGCAATTAAAAAAAAAAAAATAGTACCCCGTAAAAGGTATAATGCACTCTGCAAAAAAAATGTGTGAGGTGAAGGGGAAGGTTTTGTTAATATGCCATGATTTCTTAGTCTAAGACACAAAAGCTTTCCCCCTAAAGTTTACAGTGCTTCTCTCTAGTTGAGAACTCTTCTATGTGCCTAGTAAAATGACACAACTTATGCACGCTAATGTAAAAAATTAAAAGTGCTTTAGGTTCCCTGTATGTTTAAAATTACTATCTTGCTTTGTTTTCAAAACTTAAAGCCCTTATAGGCAGCTGTAAGACTACTAAGGACGAAGCAATAGTGTTTAATAACTCCACTTAGGAAAAAGGTTTCTACCCAGGATGCGAGTGTACTTAATCATCCACCAAGTAGCTGTTGAGCCCCTGTCAGGTCTAAGCAGCACTCAGCTGCCCTTGCCTCCTATCGCATCTGCACACCTGGCTTGTAGAGCAGGGTACTAATGAACAGAGCCCAGATTCAAGATGAAGGGTTATCACTCTTCTCCACCAACACTGCCTGAAGCCACCTGCAATTTTCCATCCAGTTCTCCACTCACAGTCAGCCTCCTGCTCCGATATCTACAAGTTGCGTGTCCTAAAATTAGGCAAATAATTTATCCACCTGAAAAATGGGGATAACAGTACCCTCATCATGGGGTTGTTGTAAGGATTAAATGAGATACATCATAGGTGAAATGCTTAGCACAGTGCCTGCCACACAGTGAACAGTTAACAAATGAGTTATTACTGTCACAAGTCTAAAGAGAGGTCCTTTAAAAAGGTGAAGACAGGTGACTGGCAGAGTGCAGTGGCTCAAGCCTGTAATCCTAACACTATGGGAGGCCTAGGTGGGCAATCACTTGAGGCCAGGAGTTCAAGACCAGCCTGGGCAACATGGTGAAACCCCGTCCCTACAAAAAATTAGCCGGGCGTGGTGGCATGCAGCACCTGTAGTTCCAGCTACCCGGGAGTCTGAGGTGGGAAGATCACCTGAGCCTAGGAGGTCGAGGCTGCAGTGAGCTGTGATCATGCCACTATACTCCAGCCTGAGTGACAGAGTGAGACCCTGTGACCAAAAAAAAAAAAAATAAAGTGTGAGGACAAGCACAAATTCATCCCCTATACTGGAAAAACAGCCTTGAACACATGCTATAATAATGATGTTTCAAGCATAGCTTTATTTTGGAGAGAAAATGCATTAACAGATGGAGTACTTACATGAATAAAAGACAATCCAGTCCAAAAACTTTAGAGTTTCAGGCATTGAATACTTGGCTTTCTTCTGTCCCAGTTTATCACTGATTTAACTTCCCTACTAATTCATCAAATCAACAATTTAAATATAAAACAGAGCTCTGTTTATATATTAAAATAGCAAATATATTTCTCTGTACTTTTTCTTTCAGATTACTCGTAATTCAGAAAGGAGAGCTTTTGGAGAAATAAAGGTTCAGTAACCGCAGTTAAGTCCTAGAGTTCAAGATCTCAGCTGATGACTTTTTTACTTACTAATACTGAGCCTTAATCAATTTGAGAAAAGATCTTCTTAAGAAGGGATAGGCTGGGCACAGTTGTTTACACCTGTAATCCCAGCACTTTGGAAGGCCAAGGTGGGAGGATCACTTGAGCCCAGGAGTTTGAGATCAGCCTGAACAACATAGCGAGATCTCATCTCTACTAAAAATAAAAAAATAAAAAAAGCAAGCTGGGGGAGCACGCCTGTGGTTCCAGCTACTCTGGAGGCTGAGGCAGAAGGATCCCTTGAGCCCAGCAGATTGAGACTTAAGTGAGATATAATCACGCCACTGCACTCCAGCCTGGGTAACAGAGCGAGACCTTGTCTCAAAAACAAAAAAAGAATAAAAAAAGATTAAAAGTACTGCATATCTATTGGGGTTACTCTCAATTCACACAATCGGAAAATTTTAAAAACTTTTTTTGAGATCATGAACCACTTTAAGAATCGGCTGCTATGAACTCTCATCTCAGGAAAAGGCATATTCACAAAGTTTTGCACTCAATCTTAGCGGGTCACAGTCATTCAGTGAAGTCATCCATGTCAATTTTTTTTTTTGAGACAGTCTTGCTCTGTCGCCCAGTCTGGAGTGCAGTGGTAATTACTGCAACCTCTGCCTCCTGGGTTCAAGCGAGTCTCCTGCCTCAGCCTCCCGAGTAGCTAGGATTACACCATGCCCGGCTATTTTTTCTATTTTTAGTAGAGACTGGGTTTCGCCATTTTGACCAGACTGATCTTGAACTCCTACCTCAAGCAATCCACCCGAGTTGACCTCCCAAAGTGCTGGGATTACAGGCGTGAGCCACGGCGCCAGCCAAACGTCAAATTAGATTATAAAATATTTCCACTAAATGTGTAATTCTAGAATTAATCATTTTCTGAAAAAAATGTTAATTATCCCTACATATGACTCCTAAGAAGTGAGCATAACCCCTCCCTCAATAGCTTTCCACCTCCAATTCAACACAGGAGGAATCCTGGGTTTTTAGAATTCAGGTCAACAGAGAAGGGTCTTAACATAGTCACATTTAGTAAGATAGACCTTTGGCCTCTCTTTAAGTGAAAGTTCAGTGCAGCCAAGGCACTAATTTCCACCATTGTCTCGACTTAATTTCGTCTTGGGCTGCAAGAATTCATTATTGCTCTTTGCATCACTGTTGTCTGGGACCACTTCAAGTATTTTCAAAGGTTTGATACCGTTCCACTTAAACTCTGAGACCCGGTTTTCTCATTTACCTGACAGTGATAGTAACAGCTACTTCTCAGGGTTATTGTTTAGAGAATGGACGTTTATGGAACACTCAGCAGTGTCTGCACACAGTAAGTGCTCAATAAGAGTTAGCTATCATTATTACGTCCTCACCGGGGCTGTCCCCTTGAGGTTGGATCACTGTGGACTCCAGGAGCTGGCACATGGTACCCACCGTCCGTGACTGGGGTAGGCCTGGGGCCGGAGGAGGGCCCTGGAGCCCTGGGAGTCCCGGGGGGCCTGGTCGACGGGAAAGTTCCGAAGGTGGCCAGGGCTGCCTCGGTGGAGTTGAGGCCCTCTGTCGTCACCGCCGGGGTGGCATCGGTCTGGGCGCTCACGGAGGCCCAGCAGCCCAGGAGCACCACCAGGAGCGGCGGGAGACCTCGCGGCCTCATCTCCCAGGGAGTCCCAGCGAGGCCCGCGACATGGACAGCGCGTTGCCCGGCAACCGCGACAGCCAGGCGCGGGGCATCACGGGAAGGGGCTTGCGAAGCCGCGAGAAGCTGCCGGAGACTGACTGGGGCGAAGCCTGGATGAGGCAGGGGGCGGATCCCGGATGAGGCCGGAGGGCGGCGCCTGGGTGAGGCAGCGATGGCAGGCACAGGGGCGAGCACTAGTGAGCGGGTGTGAAGCTGGCGTAAACGAGGGGCGTGTAAATCCCGGCTGTGGTTTCCAACCGGTCCGCGGCGCTTGCTTAAAAAATGCAGATTTTCTGTAGTTCCAGCTACTCGGGAGGCTGAGGCAGAAGAATCGCTTGAACCCGGGAGGTGAAGGCTACAGAGAGCCGTGAGCGTGCCACTGCACTCCAGCCTGGGCGACAGTGTGACACTCTGTCTCAACCAAAAAAAAAAAAAAAAAAAAAAAAGACGGATTTCCAGGTACCACCTCAGGAGATCCTGAGTCAGTTAGTCTAGGGCAGGACCCAGGAATCAGTTTTTGGGGGATTTTTTTTGAGACAGGGTCTCACTCTGTCGCCCAGGCTGGAGTGCAGTAGCGCGATCTCGGCTCACTGCAGCCTCGACCTCTGGGACTCAAGCAATCCTCCCACTTCAGCCTCCTGAGTAGCTGGGAACTCAGGCGCGCGCCACCATACCCAGCTAATTTTTGTATTTTTTTTTTTTTTTTTTTTTTTTTGTAAAGACGAGGTCTCCCTCCGTCGCCCGGACTGGTATCGAACTCCTGGTTCAAGTGATCCACCTGCTCCAGCCTCCTGAGTCCTGAGTAGTTGGGATTACAGGCGTGAGCCACCACTCCCAGCCAGGAATAAATATTTTTAACAAATGTCCGGACGCAAGCAGATGAGTTGGACGGAAATTTAGGAAGCGCCGTCCCAACGCCACTAACGTGGGTGTTTGGAAGGAGCACAGGGATCTGTGAGATCACTGTCTCTGAATTTTCTCTATCCCAGACTCTGTCAACACTGGCTTCACCTTTTTATTTTAGCTGCATCTCACAAGGTTGCCAGATAACTTCTGTCTGCTGTATTGTGATAAAGGGGACAAATGAACACTTAATACCTTTTATTATTTTTTGTAGAGAGGGGGTCTCACTATGTTGATCAGGCTAGTCACAAACTCCTGGCCTCAAGTGATCCTCCCGCCTCAGCCTCCCAAAGAGCTAGGATTACAGGCATGAGCCACCACGCCAGGCCTAAGAACCTATTTAAAGACAAAAATCTTTTACAAAAATTAAGTAAAATAATTTAGACATCTTAAAGGGGAAAACAAAGCAAATCCACTGTAATGCTACAAAACGACCTGGAGACCCTACGATTTAGGAAACCCTCTCCATTCTGAATGGGCTTATTTAGGAGGTACCCAAGCCCAAGAATGTTGGCTGCACCTTTGACACTTAATCTCCATACAGTTCAGAAGTAGATGTCGAAGTACTTAGACGTGGCCAGGCACAGTGGCTCACACCTGTACTCCCAGCCCTTTGGGAGGATCGCTTGAGTCCAGGAGTTGAGACCAGCCTGGGCAACATGGTGAAACCACATCTCTACAAAAAATACAAAAATTAGCCAGGTATGGTGGCACATTCCTGTAGTCCCAGCTACTCAGGAGGCTGAGGTGGAAGGATCGCCTCAGTCTGGAGAGCTTGAGGCTGCAGTAAGCCATGATAGTGCCACTGCACTCCAAAACAAAAAAACCTTAAACATAACACAGTATTTATTCAAGAAATGTATATACCAATTCAAAAGGATGTCAAACAGTATATATATCTAGTTTATTAAATGTATTTAGCAAAACTAAATCATCAAAGTGATATCTTTAGCACCTTCCTGTGGCATTCCAGAGACAGTGTATAAAAATATAATTGAATCACTCAAATGTGTAAGACAGATACTTCTTTTTTTCTGCAAAGGATTGCTTTAGCATCTGACTGAAATTCTGGACTGCTTTTAATAACTGATTAAATGCTTCCCCTTTTAAAAAAAATAACCAAAAGTAGGCCGGGCATGGTGGCTCACGCCTGTAATCCCAGCACTTTGGGAGGCTGAGGCGGGTGGATCACGAGGTCAAGAGATCAAGACCACCCTGGCCAACATGGTGAAACCCCGTCTTTACTAAAAATACAAAAATTAGCTGAGCATGGTGGTGGGCACCTGTAGTCCCAGCTACTCAGGAGGCTGAGGCGGGATAACTGCTTGAACCTGGGAGGCAGAGGTTGCAGTGAGTCGAGATCACACCGCTGCACTCCAGCCTGGTGACACAGCGAGACTCCGTCTCAAAAAAAAAAAAAAAGTATATTTTCCAAACCTTCATCTCATAACTTCTAAAACCAGGGCCTGTTTGTTTTCCTTTTTAAACCTCTTTACTTCCAGCCCTCTACTTTCTTTCCTATTCCTTAATACCTGTGAACCATTTTGTTCTATTTTCTGTTTTGAAATTTTAGACTGCTGGATTAAATTTTGATAACTCATCCTTTAGCTTTATAATTTTTTTTTTTTTTTGAGATGGAGTCTCACTCTGTCACCCAGGCTAGAGTGCAGTAGCAGGATCCCGGCTCAGTGCAACCTTTGCCTTCCAGGTTCAAGTGATTCTCCTGCCTCAGCCTCCCAAGTAGCTGGGATTATAGGCACCTGCCACCAAGCCCAGCCAATTTTTGTATTTTTAGTAGAGACGGGGTTTCACCATATTGGCCAGGCTGTTCTTGAACTCCTGACCTCAAGTGATCCGCCCACCTTGGCCTCCCAAAGTGCTGGGATTACAGGCGTAAGCCACCACTCCCATCCAGTTTTATAATTTTTGTTATGGTTATAGGACCTCTGAGGTCCTCTTCAAGTCTGATATCCCATTATTCCAACCAGGACCTGCTATGATATGATTTGCCAATTTCACCGCCTCTTTTGTCCAATCTCAAACAAACACGTGGTAGATGGCCCCAAAGTAATTTTATGATATTTGACTCTGAATGAGGATTGCACCTACCCAGATACAGTTTGCAAACATTAGGAACACTGGAACTTTTCATTTCACAGGTGACCCATTTCTGCCAGCCTGTTTTCATCTTTCAACCCAGAACACCCTTTCTCCCTTCCTTTTGTCCCTGGCCTTAGCAGGTTCCCTCATTAGGATGGAAGGACACAAGAGTGGCTAAGATCGAGCTCCATATTGTGCCCAAAACCTCAACATTTGGTTTGTGCATAAATGTTTGTGATTTCAAATATCCATCTGTTTCTCCAGGATTATTGGCATTCACAATTCCTTATAGTGTATGCTGACATTGGGAGGATCAAGACAATTCAGCTTTTTAGAATTCTGTGCTGAGAAGCTGCCATATATGAGAAGTCGCCATATATGAGAAGCCTGAAAGGAAAAAAAATCAAAGATAGGAGGAGTATGTAAGTAGGGAAAAAAAACTAAGGCTAACTTCACAAGGTAGTGTCAACCACTCTGTCTTGCTCTTTGGTGTGGTTTGAGGTGAATTGGTTATTATTGTTGTTGTTCTTGTTATTGCTGAAGTCATGGCTTCCAACCTGTTTAAAATTAATAAATTAGCTGGGCATGGTGGCACGTATCTGTGAACCCAGTTACTCTGGAGGCTGAGGTGGGAGGATCGCTTGAGGCCAGGACGTCAAGGGCTGCAGTGAGCCATGATCACACCACTGCAGTCTGGCCTAGGCAACAGAGTGAGACCCTGTCTCAAAAGAAAAAGTAGAAATTTTTTTCTAGTGATTAGTATATCTATTTTTATTAATCTCTCCCAAACATTTCACAAATGAGGTGGCAGAGTCACAAAGCTTCCTAAAGGGGTTGCTTTAGATCTACAAAGGGATCAAGACTGTGTGAAGACGGAGGATTGGCTGTACCATTTTGACTGAAGTAACTAGTCGGGTAATTGATTTCCAGATCAACGCCCAGAAGAAAATAATCCTCAACTGCTCTCATTCTCCCAGTCCCCACGTACCTCATCAACCACTGAGTACTATTCTTGTTCTTTTTTTTTTTTTTTTTTTTTTGAAATGGAGTCTTGCTCTGTCGCTCAGGCTAGTGTGCAGTGGAGCGGTCTCAGCTCACTGCAACCTCCACCTCCCAGGTTCAAGCAATTCTCCTGCCTCAGCCTCCCAAGTATCTGGGACCACAGGTGCCCGCCACCATGCCTGGCTAATTTTTGTATTTTTAGTAGGACGGGGTTTCACTATCTTGGCCAGGCTGGTCTTGAACCCCTGACCTAGTAACCCACCCGCCTCGGCCTCCCAAAGTGCTGGGATTACAGGCGTGAGCTACCGCGCCCAGCCTATTCTTGTTCTTTAAGTGTTTTCTGAAACATTACGGGGACAGAAGGACTATTTGAGCAGACTTCACATTCTTGAAAGGTCTCACATTTGCATTTGACCTTTTCTAAAAGAAAGTCATACATACAGTCACAGACATTCACCAACAGGAATGAAATAAGAATTCCTTGTTTACCATACAGTTGTTATTTTTTTTTCTTTTTGGGTTTCTTTTTTTTTTTTTTCTTTGAGATGGAGTCTCACTCTTTTGCCCAGGCTGGTGTGCAGTGGCCCAATCTCAGCTCACTGCAACCTCCACCTTCCCAGTTCAAGTGATTCTCCTGCCTCAGCCTCCCAAGTAGCTGGGATTACACATGCCTGCCACCTCACCTGGCTAATTTTTGTATTTTTAGTACAGACAGGGTTTCACCATGTTGACCAGGCTAGTCTCTAAACTCCTGACCTCTAGTGATCCACCCACCTCAGCTTCCCAAAGTGCTGGGATTACAGGCATGAGTCACCATACCCAGCTTACCATACAGTTTTAACCTTGCATCCTATTATTGAACCAGACTGCAGTTTGAATAAACTCGGCTTTCTAAAAAATCATTTTTGTTTTTATTCTTTTCAGATTGAAATTTTCCAAACAGGGACCGGGCACGGTGGCTTACACCTGTAATCCCAGCACTTTGGAAGGCCGAAGCAGGCGGATCATCTGAGGTCAGGAGTTCGAGACCAGCCTGGCCAACATGGTGAAACCCCGTCTCTACTAAAAAACACAAAAATTAGTCAGGCGTGGTGACAGGTGCCTTAATCCCAGCTACTTGGGAGGCAGAGGCAGGAGAATCATTTGAACCCGGGAGGCTGAGGTTGCAGTTAGCCAAGATAAAGCCATTGCACTTAAACCTGGGGGACAAGAGCGAGACTTCTCTCAAAAAAAAAAAAGAAAAGAAAAGAAAAGAAACTTTCCAAACAGGATAAAAGGCACAGAAAAGAAGGCCACTGTGTACTCCTCCAAGATTATTCAGAAATTGACATTTTGCCATGCTTGCTCCACATTTCTTTCTTCTTAGGTTTATAGAGGGATAATTTATATGCAGTATATATTTTTTGTGTAATAGTTTTGATGTAAGGTTTTTCTTACACATCAGGGTACAGGTTTCTTTGGTGGGCAATTCTATGAATATTTCTTCTTTCCTTTTCTATTTTTATTTTTGGGTAGACACAGAGTCTCACTCTGTTGCCCAGGCTGGAGTAAGGTGGTGCAATCATAGCTCACTGCAGCCTTGAACCCCTGGGCTAAAGGGATCCTCCCACTTCAGCCTCTAGAGTAGCTAGGACTACAGGTGCATGCCACACACCCGGCTCAATTTTATGAGTTTTTTTGTTTTTGTTTTTGTTTTTTTGTGACGGAATTTTGCTCTTGTGCCCAGGCTGAAGTGCAATAGCAGAATCTCAGCTCACTGCAACCTCTGGCTCCCGGGTTCAAGCAATTCTCCTGCCTCAGCCTCCCAAGTAGCTGGGATTACAGGCATGTGCCACCATGCCTAGCTAATTTTTTTTGTATTTTTAGTAGAGATGGGGTTTTACCATGTTGGTCAGGCTGGTCTTGAACTCCTGACCTCAAGTGATCCACCCGCCTTGGCCTCCCAAAGTGCTGGAATTACAGGCATGAGCCACCATGTCCAGCCTAGTTTTATGAGTTTTAACAAACACATACAGTCACATTAACCACAACCACAATAAAGATGTAGAACATGTGGGCAAAGTGGCTCACGTTTGTAATCCCAGCACTTTGAGAGACCAAGCCGGGAGAATCACTTGAGGCCAGGAGTTAATAGGCCAGCTTGGGCCATTGGCAAGACCCCATCTCTATGAAAGTAAAAAAATTAGCTGTTTTCCATAATGGCTGTACCATTTTATATTCCCAAACACAGTGCATAAGCATCCCAACTTCTCTAAATCTTTGTCAACACTTATGGTTTTCTGTTCTTTTGATAGTTATCATCCTAATGGGTATAAGTTGATATTTCATGGTTTTGATTTCCCTAATGATTAGTGATGTTGTGAATCTCTTTGTGTGCTTGTTGACCATTGGTATATGTTCTTTGCAGAAATGTCTATCAAGTCAGTTGCCCATTTTTTAATTGGGTTGTTCATTATCATTGTTCAGTTGTAGGAGTTCCCTATATATTCTGGAAATTATCCTCTTATCAGATAAGTGATTTACAGATATTTTCTCCTATTCCATTGGGTTGCCTTTCACTCTGTTGATTTTTACCTTTGATATCCACAAGTTTTTACTCTGATGTGGTTCCATTTGTCTATTTTTTCTTTTGTTGTCTGTGCTTTTGGTGTCTTATCCAAGAAATCATTGCCAAATCTAGTATCCTGAAGCTTTTCCCTTATGTTTTCTTCTAGGAGTTTTGAGGTCTTAACATTTTGAGTTCTTTAATCCATTTTGAGTTTATTTCTGTTATCTGGTATAAAGTAAGGATCCAGCTTCATTCTTCTGCACGTGATTTCCAGTTTTCCCAGCACCATTTGTTGAAGGGACTCTTCTTTCTCCATTGTGTAGTCTTGGCATGCTTGTTGAAACTCCTCTAGCCATATATGCAAAAATTTCTTTCAGTTCATTATTTTTTTATTTTTTACAATTTTTTGTAGAGACGGGGTTTCACTATGTTGCCCAGGTTGATCTCAAACTCCTGCCTCAAATGATCCTCCTGCCTCAGCCTCCCAAAGTGCTGGGATTAGAGGCATGAGCCACCGTGCTTGGCCCAGTCCATTCTTTTTTTTTTTTTTTTTTTTTTGAGATGGAGTTTCGCTCTTGTTGCCCAGGCTGAAGTGCAATGGCATGATCTTGGCTCAGCGCAACCTCCACCTCCTGGGTTCAAATGATTTTCCTGCCTCAGCCTCCCGAATAGCTGGGATTACAGGCATGTGCCACCATGCCCAGCTAATTTTGTATTTTTAGTAGAGACGAGGTTTCTCCATGTTGGTCAGGCTGGTCTTGAACTCCCAACCTCAGGTGATCCACCTGCCTTGGACTCCCAAAGTGCTGGGATTACAGGCATGAGCCACCACGTCCGGCCCCAGTCCATTCTTTTTATTGGTGGCAAGTATTACAAAAATGGCTCCTTTGCAATTTATCCATCCATTCATCAGTTGAAGGAATTTGGGTTTTTCTAGGTTTTGGTGGTTAAAAATAAAACATATGTTTCATTTCTCTTATATACATACCTAGGAGTGAGATTTCTGGGTTTTATGGTCAGTATGTGTTTAAATATATAAGAAACTGCCCAGTTTTTTCCAAAGTGACTGGCCCATTTGCCTTCCCAATAACAAGGTATGAGAGTCCCAGTTTCCCATGCTCACGGGCACTTAGGATGGCCACCTTTGTTTTCATTTTTGTTTTTAGTTATTCTGATAGGTGTATGGTGGCTTCTGCTTGCAGTTTCATTAACTGGCTTTTAAGAAATCCAATCACGGCCCAACGCGGCAGCTCACGCCTGTAATCCCAGCACTTTCGGAGGCCGAGGCAGGTGGATCAGGAGGTCAGGAGTTTGAGACCAGCCTGGCCAACATAGTGAAAACCCGTCTCTACTAAAAATACAAAAAAATTAGCCAGGCGTGGTGGTGGGCACCTGTAATCCTAGCTACTTGGGAGGCTGAGGCAAGGAGAATCACTTGAACTTGGGAGACGGAGGTTGCAGTGAGCTGAGATCGCACCACTTCACTCCAGCCTAATGACAGAGTGAGACTCCGTCTCAAAAAAAAAAAAAAAAGAAAGAAAGAAATCCAATCACCTGGTGACAGCACATCTACATTACATTTTAATCTTGGGGTGCTGAAAGTATTTGTCAAATGTGAAATGAAAAAATAAATTTGTTTTTTCTGTATATAAGGAGCTTCAAAAAATGAAAGTAAGCTGGCTTCCTGGTCCCACTGAGCGACCCTGCTCTCTCCTCCTCCACCGCTATTTCTGTTTCTGTGTTGTAAATATGTTTTCATTCTTTCCTCGGGACCTGCAGATAGTTCCTCTTTCACTTACTTTTTACTGGCTACTGGCAGCCTGTTAGTGAATTCTTCTTCTTCTTCCTCTTTTTTTTTTTTTTTTTTTTCTTGAGACAGAGTTTCACCCTTGTTGCCCAGTCTGGAGTGCAAAGGCGTGATCTTGGCTCACTGCAACCCCCGCCTCCCGGGTTCAAGCGATTCCCCTGCCTCAGCCTCCTGAGTAGCTGGGATCACAGGTACACACCACCTCTCCCGGCTAATTTTTTATTTTTAGTAGAGACGGGGTTTCACCATGTTGGTCAGGCTGGTCTCAAACTCCTGACCTCAGGTGATCCACCCGCCTTGGCCTCCCAAAGTGCTGGGATTACAGGCGTAAGCCACCACGCCCAGCCGTTTTTTGTTTGTTTGTTTTCTTTTTTTTTTTTTGAGATGGAGTCTTTCTCTGTTGCCCAGGCTGGAGTGCAGTGGCACCATCTCGGCTCACTGCTCACTGTAACCTCCACCTCCCAGGGTCAAGCGATTCTCCTGCCTCCGCCTCCCAAGTAGCTGGGATTACAGGCACATGCCACAGCGCCCAGCTAATTTTTGTATTTTCAGTAGAGACAGGGTTTCACAATGTTGGCCAGGCTGGCCTCAAACTCCTGACCTCAAGTGATCCACCCACCTCAGCCTCCCAAAGTGCTGGGATTACAGGCGTGAGCCACTGCCCCTGGTCAGAAATACGTATTCTTCAAGATAAAATCCATCATACTGATGCTTCCAATTAAGACTCCATCCCTCCACCCAAAAAAAAGAGAATAACAATACCAATAACAATACTAATAATACAGAATAATGATACCAATACTACCACACAACCATAGGATTATTTAAAATATGTTAAGAATGTTTTTAGCTGCACACTTTCTTTTTGAGACAGAGTCTCACTCTGTTGCCCAGGCTGGAGTGTAGTGGCATGATCTCAGCTCACTGTGACCTCCACCTCCCAGGTTCAAGAGATTCTCCTGCCTCATCCTCCCGAGTAACTGGGACTGCAGGCGCCTGCCACCACATCCAGCTAATTTTTGTATTTTTAGTAGAGGCGGGGTTTCTCCACATTGGTCAGGCTGGTCTTGAACTGCCGACCTCAGGTGATCCACCCACCTCGGCCTCCCAAAGTGCTGGGATTACAGGCGTGAACCACCGTGCCCAGCCTGCACACTTTCATTTAATCCCTCTGTTTTTAGGATGTTGCCTCGCCTCCAAGTGTTTTCTCTGATTGCTATCCCTGGACCCAGAACTTCTCTGGTTCAAGTTCTCCAGGGAATAAGCATCTCATCTTCTGCAGAGATTGGGGTTAGGGAGTGACAAGGAGGAGAATCAGGGGTCTAACGCTTCCCCCAGATGGTATTTATATTCAATCAATTATTGGTTTTCAGTCCCACCTCTCAGCACAGGGGCCTTCAACCAATTCCTGAGCCTTTCTGGGGTTTATCAGCTCTAAGTGCCTTGCTACTCATTGGCAACTCCTGCAAGAACTAGGGTTTCTCCTCCCAAGTAAACCACTCATCTACATTCTATCTTCTAAAAAGGATTTGAGATCTCTCATGAGCAGTCTTCTCCCACTCTTTGTGGGTTTATACCTCTTTGATTCCTTTGCTAGTATTTTAGGAGTGTTTCAGGAGAGAGCAGAGATAACTGCATGGGCTCAATCTGCCATGTTTCTATATGTTTTATGTAAATATTTTCCTATCAGGCATGGAGAGATAATATAGTGAAATGATTAGAAGCACAGATTCTATAATGGGGGAGGCTAGGCCTGTGTGATCCAGGGGATATATCTCTGTACCTTCTGCTCAATTTTGCTGTGAACCTAAAACTGCTTTTAAAAAGAAGATCTAGGCCAGGCACGGTAGCTCACACCTGTAATCCTGGAACTTTGGGAGGCCAAGACGGGCGGATGGCTTGAGGTCAGGAATTCAAAACCAGCCTGGCAAACATGGTGAAACCCCGTCACTACTAAAAATGCAAAAAAATTAGCTGGGCGTGGTGGTGTGCACCTGTAATCCCAGCTACTTGGGAGGCTAAGACAGGAGAATTGCCTGAACCTAGGAGGTGGAGGTTGCAGTGAGCCGAAATCGCACCACTGCACTCCAGCTTGGGCCACAAAGTGTGATTCTGTCTCAAAAAAAAAAAAAAAAAAAAAGGTCTACTGGGCCGGGCGTAGTGACTCACGCCTGTAATCCCAGCATTTTGGGACGCTAAGGCGAGCAGATCACTTGAGGTCAGGAGTTCCGGACCAGCCTGGCCAACATGGTGAAACCCTTTCTCTACTGAAAAATGTTTAAAAAATACAAAAATTACTGGGGCCTGGTGGCGGGCGCCTGTAGTCACAGCTACTTGGGAGGCTGAGGCACGAGAATCCCTTGAACCCGGGAGGCAGAGGTTGCAGTGAGCTGAGATTGCCTCTGCACTCCAGCCTGGGTGACAGAGTGAGACTCTGTCTTAAAAAAAAAAAAAAAAAGAAAGAAGGAAGGAAAGAAAAGAAAAGAGAAAACGAGCACACTTTCTGAAGCCACAGTGTTTGGGTTCAAATCCCTAGTTCTGCCACTTGCTAGCACTATAACTTTGGGCATGCTTTCTGTGTTCAGATTCTTCGTCTATAAAACAGGGAAATAGTGGTACTTAGGTACCAGTTTTGTGCATACAGCATGGTGTATACAGTATGCAGCATGGCTAACTAAGCCCTCAAAAAGCTTTAAAATGCAGCCTGGACAATATAGCAAGACTCTTTCTCCACAAAAAAACAAAAACAAATTAGCCAGATGTGTTGCCACACACCAGTCCTAGCTACTCGGGAGGCTGAAATGGGAGGATCGCTTGAGCCCTGGAGTTGGAAGCTGCAGTGAGCTATGATCATGCTACTGCACTTCAGCCTGGGTGACAGAGCAAAACCCTGTCTCCATTTAAAAGACAACAAAAGCTGTCCAGGCTTGGTGGCTCACGCCTGTAATCCCAGCACTTTGGGAGGCCGAGGCAGGCGGATCATGAAGTCAGGAGATCGAGACTATCCTGGCTAACACGGTGAAACCCTGTCTCTACTAAAAATACAATAAATTAGCCGGGCGTGGTGGTACACACCTGTAGTCCCAGCTACTCAGGAGGCTGAGGCAAGAGAATTGCTTGAACCCGGGAGGCGGAGGTTGCAGTGAGCCGAGATCACGCCACTTCACTCCAGCCTGGGTGACAGAGCAAGACTCCGTCTTAAAAAATAAATAAATAAATAAAAGCTTAAAAATGTTATTTGAGAAAGGGTGCAGGATTCAGGTTTCCTTAATTGGAAAAGACAAGATGATGTTAATTCTCCAGAAAGCGAAAGGAGAAAATATATGTTAATCTTGCCTCAAAATCGATTGTATGGTCCTCAGGATTTAGCAATTCTGAATAATGCCATTTCACCTATTCCCTGCAGATGGCAGCCTTTGTCACCAAAACTTGGTTCCTCTCACAGGGTTGACCCGGAGCAGAGGACAAAATGCTATTCTTTCATTGGCTCTAGTTCACTCAACAAATATTTACTGAGCACCTACTATGTGCCCGGACCCAGAAACAGCAGTGGTCAAGCAGGCACCAGCATTGCCCTCTCAGAACTTCCAACAGTTCTAGAGCTTCATTCTAAGGAGCTGAGGGGCCCTCCCAAGGAAAGCTTCCATGAGAATGGGCCTTCAGTTACAGAAGCCTTAACAGGAGTCAGAAACAGAATGCCTTCTCGAGCAAAAACGATGTTGCAAAGGACATTACTCACCACCAATTGCTTTCCAGGCCTACCTGCACTTAAAAAGAGCCTTTCATAAGTTCCACCCTCAGAGGAAAGAGCTGGGATATTTTATTTTATTATTTATTTATTTATTTTGAGATGGAGTCTCACTCTGTTGCCCTGGCTGCAGTGCAGTGGCCCAATATAGGCTCACTGCAACCTCTGCCTCCCAAGTTTAAATGATTCTCATGTCTCAACCTCCCGAGTAGCTGGGACTACAGGCGCCCACCACCATGCCTGGCTAATTTTTGCATTTTTATTAGAGACAGGGTTTTGCCATGTTGGCAGGCTGGTCTCGAACTCCTGAGCTCAGGTGATCCACCTGCCTCGGCCTCCCAAAGTGCTGGGATTACAGGTGTGAGCCACCGTGCCCAGCCAAGAGCTGGGATATTTTAAATTAAATAATTCAAACTTAAAGCTGCTGGAACTTTCTTCTGAGCCTTGAGAGGAATGTGGCCATGTAGTATGCAGTTGCAACTTCTGCTTGTCCTGTAAATGATTAGAAATGACCCAGTAGGCCGGGTGCGGTGGCTCACGCCTGTAATCCCAGCACTTTGGGAGGCCAAGACAGGCAAATCACTTGAGATCAGGAGCTGGGGACCAGCCTGGCCAATATGGCGAAACCCCGTTTCTACTAAAAATATAAAAATTGGGCGTGGTGGTGGGCACCTGTAATCCCAGCTACTTGGGAGGCTGAGGCAGAAGAATTGCTTGAACTCAGGAGGCAGAGGTTGCAGTGAGCTGAGATTGCACCACTGCACTCAAGCCTGGGCAATACACAGTGGCTCACGCCTGTAATCCCAGCATTTTGGGAGGCCGAGGCAGACAGATCACAAGGTCAGGAGTTCAAGACCAGCCTGACCAACATGGGGAAACCCTGTCTCTACCAAAAAAAAAAAATAGCCAGGCATGGTGGCACAGGCCTGTAATCCCAGCTACTCAGGAGGCTGAGGCAGGAGAATCACTTGCACCCAGGAGGCGGAGGTTGCAGTGAGCCAAGATCACGCCACTGCACTCCAGCCTGGATGACAGAGGGAAACTCCATCTCAAGAAAAAAAAAAAGAAAGAAATGACCCACTAGCACCAGAGATAAGACCCTCTCAGGACATTACTCCTCTTCATAGAATGTTAAAGCATCTTCCTTGAAATGTAGCAAGCTGTTTTAATCAAATGACTGTAACATACATATGGGCCTTGGATGGAAAATGTTGCAACTCAGCTGCAACTGTTTCTATCTATATAAGTGAAACCTTAGCTTCCTCTCTTTCCAACACTGATCCCATTCCTTTGGAGTATGTGTTTCGCAGGTGATCATCCTCAAACCTTGCACTTGAATAAACTCTGTACTTAATCATATTTTCTAAATCTCGTTATGCAAGTTTGACAGATACTAAGAGGCATTGTCGCCAATGTAGAAAGAGGGTGGCAGGGTTATGGGGTGAGTGAACGGGAAGATTTAGGAAATACAGACCACGGATAACAATTCAAAATGCCCCACCAATTTTTAAACCAAACATCTCCTTTTTAAGAAAAATTATCCAAATTTTGGAAATAAGACCAAGAGAGGGCAGTGTAGTTCTTTCAATGTCATCAAGGACTTTGTTTCACAAGCTCACCCAAAGATTACTTAATTCTCTAGCAGGGATCAGCAAACTCTTTCTGTAAAGGTCCAGGTAGTAAATATTTTAGGCTTTGTGGCTGGTTCCTATCTGTCAACTACTCAACTCTATCGGTCATCATGGTCCACCATTTCTGTACAGCAAAAGCATCCTGGGGAGATACAGAAATAATTGGGTATGGCTGTGTTCCAATAAAACTGTATTTTAGGCCGGGCATGGTGGCTCACACCTGTAATCCCAGCACTTTGGGCGGCCGAGGCGGGAGGATTGCTTGAGGCCAAGAGTTCAAGACCAACATAGTGTGACCCCATCTCTTATTTTTAAAAATAATAAAATTAAAATCTTATTACAAACACAAGCAGCCAGGCCAGATGTAGCCCACCAACTACTTATATAGGCCAGGGACTGTTCCTTTGTTTGCATAGGTATTGATTGATTAAAGGCCCAGATTTTTGTCCAGTACAGTTTTTGGTTGTTTTTTGTTTGTTTTTGTTTTTGAGATGGAGTCTCACTCTGTTGCCTAGGCTGGAGTGCAGTGGCATGATCTCAGCTCACTGCAACCTCCACCTCCTGGGTTCAAGCAATTCTTCTGCCTCAGCCTCCCGAGTAGCTGGGACTACAGGCATGCTCCACCAGCTAATTTTTTTTTTTTTTTTTTTTTAGTAGAGATGGGGTTTTACCGTCTCAGGCTCCTGACTTCAAGTGATCTGCCTGCCTCGGCCTCCCAAAATGCTGGGATTACAGGCATGAGCCACTGTTCCTGGCCTTGTCCAGTAGAGTTTTGAATTATTTCTCTCCAGTACAAAAGAGAA
The DNA here is from genome assembly GCF_000001405.40 of Homo sapiens. Lineage (NCBI taxonomy): Eukaryota > Metazoa > Chordata > Mammalia > Primates > Hominidae > Homo > Homo sapiens. The sequence continues at coordinate 110,599,616 of NC_000012.12, read as the reverse complement.
TCCCATAGCTTATAGTTCTTATTACCCTGCAGAAGATTAACCAGTTTTGTATCTAAAATTCCCACTTCCTCAAGTACCTACTTCTTCAAAACATTCTCTGAACCAACTTCACCATCCGACTGTTTCCTCTTAGACAAGTAGAATACTTTTCTGACGTGTCAATTCTATATTTGTTTGTTTTGTTTTTTGTTTTGTGTGAGATGGGGTCTCATTCTGTCACCCAGGCTGGAGTACAATGGTGCAATCTTGGCTGACTGCAACCTCCACCTCCGGGCTCATGCCATCTGCCCACCTCAGCCTCTCAAGTAGCTGAGACTATAGGCGCACACCACCATGCCCTGCTAATTTTTGTATTTTTTGTAGAGACAGGGTTTCACCTTATTGCCCAGGCTGGTCTCGAACTCTGGGGCTCAAATTATCTGCCTGCCTCAGCCTTCCAAAGTGCTGGGATTACAGGCATGAGCCACCATGCCGAGCCCTCCATTCTATATTTGAATGAGTCATGCTTTATTTTTATTTTTATTTTTTGAGACAGAGTTTCGCTCTTGTCGCCCAGGCTGCAGTGTAATGGCGCGATCTCAGCTCGCTGCAACCTCCACCTCCTGGGTTCAAGCGATTCTCGTGCGTCAGTCCCCCAAGTAGCTGGGAGTACAGGCGCCTGCCACCACGCCCAGCTAATTTTTATATTTTTAGTAGAGACAGGGCTTCACCATGTTGGCTAAGCTGGTCTCAAACTCTTGACCTTAGGTGATCCGCCTGCCTCCACCTCCCAAAGTGATGGGATTACAGGCGTAAGCCACCGCATCTGGCCCTCTCCCCACCTTCTTAATTTCATTTTCTACCTCCCCATCATTCCCTACACACTTTGGCCACACCGACCCTTTGCCTAATCCTCTAACAACTCACACTTTAAAGAAAAACTTTGGCTGGGCACGGTGGCTCACACCTGTAATCTTAGCACTTTGAGAAGCCGAGGTGGGTAGATTGCCTGAGCTCAGGAGTTCAAGACCAGCTTGGGCAACATGGTGAAACCCCGTCTCTACTAAAATACAATAAAAAATTAGCTGGGCATGGCGGCGTGCACCTGTAATTCCAGCTACTTGGAAGGCTGAGGCAGGAGAATCGCTTGAACTAGGGAGGCGGAGGTTGCAGTGATCCGAGATTGTGCCACTGCACTCCAGCCTGGTGACAGAGCGAGACTCCATCTACAAAAGAAAAAAAAAAAGATTTAATTGTGGTAAAATATATATAACAGAAAATTTCAGAAACCATCTTTAGGTGTACAGTTCAGTGGTAGTAAGTACAATTCACACTGTTGTGCAGCCATCAACACAGCCCATCTCCAGAATTCTTTTTCATCTTGCCAAACTGAAACTCTGTACCCATCAAACAATAATTCCCCATTCCTCCGCCCCCCCAACCCCTAGCAACCACCATTCTGCTTTCTGTCTTTATGAATTTGACTACCCTAGGTATCAAATTCCATTTAAGTGGAACCATAAAGTATTTGTCTGCCTGTGACTGGCTTATTTCACTTAGCATAATGTCCTTTAAGAAGTATATCCCTGTTGTAGCCTGTGTTAAGATTTAAATTTTTTTTCTTTTTTTCTTTTTTTTTTTTTTTTTTGCTCTGTCACCCTGGCTGGTGTGCACTGGCATGATCTCAGCTCACTGCAACCTCTGCCTCCTGAGTTCAAGCAATTCTCCTGCCTCAGCCTCCCTAATAGCTGGGATTATAGGCATGTACCACCATGCCCAACTAATCTTAGTATTTTTAGTAGAGATGGGGTTTCACCATGTTGGCCAGGCTGGTCTCGAACTCCTGACCTCAAGTGACCCACTCACCTCGGCCTCCCAAAGTGCTAGGATTATAGGTGTGAGCCCCCATGCCTGGCTCCTCCTTTTTTTCTCTTTTCTTTTTTAGAGACAAGGTGTCACTCTATCACCCATTTTGGGGGACAGTGGCACACTCATAGTTCACTGTAATCTTGAACTCCTGGACTCAAGTGATCCTCCCACCTCAGCTTCTCCAGTAGCTAAAACTATAGGTACACACCACCATGCCAAGTTAAAAAAAATTTTCTTTTGAGAGATGGGATCTTGCTATGTTGTCCAGGCTGGTCTCAAACTCCTAGGCTACAATGATCCTCCTGCCTCACCCTCCCAAAGTGCTGGAGTTACAAGTATGAGCAATAGCACCCAATCAGAACTTCCTTCCTGTTTAAGACTAAATAGCCGAGCGAGGGGCTCACGCCTGTAATCCCAGCACTTTGGGAGGCTGAGGCAGGCAGATCACAAGGTCAAGAGATGGAGACCATCCTGGCCAACATGGTGAAACCCCGTCTCTACTAAAAATACAAAAATTAGCTGGGTGTGTTGGCACGCACCTGTAGTCCCAGCTACTCGGGAGGCTGAGGCAGGAGAATCACTTGAACTTGGGAGGCAGAGGTTGCAGTGAGCCAAGATCATGCCACTGCACTCCAGCCTGGCGACAGAGCGAGACTCCACCTCAAAAAGCAAAAAAAGACTAAATAATATTTCACTGTATGGGCTAGGCGCGGTGGCTCACGCCTGTAATCCCAGCACTTTGGGAGGCTAAGGTAGGTGGATCACGAGGTCAGGAGATTGAGACCATCCTGGCTAACACAGTGAAACCCTGTCTCTACTAAAAACACAAAACATTAGCCGGGCGTGGGGGCGGGTGCCTGTTGTCCCAGCTACTTGGGAGGCTGAGGCAGGAGAATGGCATGAAACCAGGAGGCAGAGCTTGCAGTGAGCCAAGATCACACCACTGCACTCCAGCCTGGGCGACAGAGCAAGACTCTGTCTCAAAAAAAAAAAAAAATTCACTGTATGGATGGACCATATTTTCCTCATCCATTAATCTGTCAAAGGACAATCAGATTGCTACCATGCCTTGGCTATTGTGAATAATGCTGCTACAAACATGGATGAACAAATATCTGTCTGAATCCCCACGTGTGTGTGTGTGTGAGAGAGAGAGACAGTGTCGCTCTGTTGCCCAGGCTGAGAGTGCAGTGGTGCATCCCAGCTTACTGCAATCTCCGCCTCCAAGGTTCACGCCATCCTCCAGCCTCAGCCTCTCAAAGTGCTGGGATTACAGGCATGCACCACCACATCCAACCAATTTTTGTATTTTTAGTAGAGACGGGATTTCGCCATGGTGGCCAGGCTGGTCTCAAACTCCTGACCTCAAGTGATCTGCCCACCTTGGCCTCCCAAAGTGCTGAGATTAAAGGCATGAGCCACTGTGCCCAGCCAAGTCCTCACTTTCAATTCCTTTGGGTATATACTCAGAAGTGGAATTGCTAAATTATATGGTAATTCAATTTTTAATTTTTGAGGAGCCACCATACTGTTTTCCATAATGACTACCATTTTACATTGCCAGCAACAGAGCACAAGGTTTCCAATTTCTCCACATCCTCACCAACACTTCTTATTTTCTGGGTTTTGTTTTCGTTTTTGTTTTTGTTTTTGAGACCGAGTTTCGCTCTTGTTGCCCAGGCTAGAGTGCAATGGCACGATCTTGCATCACCACAACCTCCTCTCCCGGGTTCAAGCGATTCTCCTGCCTCAGCCTCCTGAGTAGCTGGGGTTACAGGCATGTGCCACCAGGCCTGGCTAATTTTGTATTTTTAGTAGAGACGGGGTTTCTCCACGTTGGTCAGGCAACTCGAACTCCCGACCTCAGGTGATCTGCCCACCTTGGCCTCCCAAAGTGCTGGGATTACAGGCGTGAGCCACCGCACCTGGCCTGTATTCTGTTTTTCTGTTTGTTTGTTTGTTTTTGTTTTTGTTTTGTAGAGACAAAGTCTTCCTCTGTCTCCCAGGCTGGAATGCTGTGGCATGATCACGGCTCAATGCAGCCTCATCCTCCTGGGCTCAAGCAATCCTTTCACCTCAGCCTCCCAAATAGTTGGGACTACAGGTGTGTGCCACAACTCCTGGATAGTTTTTTTTATTTTTAGTAGAGATGAGGTCTTGCTAAGTTGCCCAGGCTAGTCTTGAACTCCTGAGCTCAAGCGATCCTCCCTGCTCAGCCTCCCAAAGTGCTAGGGTGACAGGTGTGAGCCATATTATCTGGATATTAATCCTTTATCAAATATATGACTTGCAAAAATTTTCCCTCATTCTGTTGCTTGCCTTTTTGTTGATTGTGTCTGATGCACAGAAGCTTTAAATTTTGATACAATCCAACTGATGTATTTTTTCTTTTGTTGCCTGTGCTTTTGGTGTCGTATCCAAAAAAATCACGGCCAAATCCAATGTCATGAAGCTTTCTCCCTCTGTTTTTTTTCTAAGAATTTTATAGTTTTGGCTCTGACACACAGATCTTTGATCAATTTTGAGGAACTTTTATTACTTTTTTTTTTTTTTTTTTGAAACAGGGTCTTACTGTGTCACCCAGGCTGGAGCCTCAACCTCCCGGGCTCAAGCGATCCTCTCACCTCAGCCTCTCGAGTAGCTAGGACTACAGGCATGTGCCACCATGCCCGGCTAATTTTTGTATTTTAGTAGAGATGGGATTTTACCATGTTGGCCTGGCTGGTCTCAAATTCTTGGGCTCAAGCAATCCGCCCACCTCGGCCTCCCAAAGTGCAGGGATTACAGGTGTGAACCACCGCACCCAGCTAAACTGTATCTTTTAATGTGGTCAAGTTGATCTAAATTTTCCTTAACAGCTTGTGCACTTTTATATATTATTGAAGCTGCCATTTCTTATCCCAATATTCTATATTTTATTCTAAGACTTTTCAATATTTCTTTTTACTCTTGGAATTTACTCTTGTATATAATGTGAGTTTGGGACCCAGTTTAACTTTTTTTTTTTTAAAGACAGAGTCTCACTTTGTTGCCCAGGCTGGAGTGCAGTGGCATGATCTTGGCTAACTGCAACTTCTGCCTCCTGGGCTTAAGCGATTCTCTTGCCTCAGCCTCCTGAGTAGCTGGGACTACAGGCATAAGCCACCACACCAGTTAATTTCTGTATTTTAGTAGAGATTGGATTTCGCTATGTTGATCAGGCTAGTCTCAAACTCCTGGCCTCAAGTGATTTATCCGCCTCGGCCTCCCAAAGTGCTGAGATTATAGGCGTGAGCCGCCATGCCTAGCCCACCGTTTAATTTTTCAGAGAGATAACCAATGTTCTCACACCATTTAAAAAATAATTTATTTTTTGGCCAGCCACGGTGGCTCACACCTGTAATCCCAGAACTTTGGGAGGCCAAGACAGGTGGATTGCCTGAGCTCAGGATTTCGAGGTCAGCAGGGGGAACATGGTGAAACCTCGTCTGTAAAAAAAATAAAAAATAAATACAAAAGTTAGCCAGGTGTGTAACACGGTGAAACCCATCTCTACTAAAAATAGAAAAAATTAGCTGGGCTTGGTGGCAGGTGCCTGTAGTCCCAGCTACTCAGGAGGCTGAAGCAGGAGAATGGCGTGAATCCGGGAGGCAGAGCTTGCAGAGAGCCGAGATCGCACCCCTGCGCTCCAGCCTGGGTGACAGAGTGAGACTCCATCTCAAAAAAAAAGAAAGTTAGCTAGGTGTGTTGGCACACACCTGTAGTTCCTGTACTCAGGAGGCTGAGGTGGCAGGATCACTTGAGCTTGGGAGGTAGAGGCTACAGTGAGCCGAGACTGCACCACTGCACTCCAGCCTGGGTGACAGAGTAAAACACTGTCTCAAAATATATGTATATTATTTTTTCCCGTAATTTGTAATATTACTGCAACTTCCTTTCAAGTTGTTGTATATTTGTGGGTCTCTTCTCTTAATATCTACCTAGCGGGCTGGGCGCGGTGGCTCACGCCTGTAATCCCAGCACTTCGGGAGGCTGAAGCAGGTGGATCACCTGAGACCAGCCTGACCAACATGGAGAAACCCCGTCTGTACTAAAAATCCTAAATTAGCTGGGTGTGGTGGTGCATACCTGTAATCCCAGCTACTCGGGAGGCTGAGGCAGGAGAATTGCTTGAACCCGGGAGGCGGAGGTTGTGGTGAGCCGAGATCGTGTCATTGCACTCCAGCCTGGGCAACAAGAGTGAAACTCCATCTCAAAAAAAAAAAAAAAAAAAAATATATATATATATATATATACATATATGTATATATATATATATATATATCCCCCTAGTTAAGCCTTCAAAAATTCACTTCTCTTCCACATCTGTTTGGCTTGTCTACTAAGATCACAGTTCTAGCTCTTTATAAAAGATCCCTGTAATCCCAGCACTTTGGGAGACTGAGGTGGGAGGATTGCTTGAGCCCAGGAGTTTGAGGCTGCAGTGAGCTATGATCGGGCCACTGCACTCCAGCCTGGGTGATAGAGCAAGATCATGTTTTTTTTAAAAAAAAATCCCACCCTCCTCCAGTTTAGTCAGCAGATCTTCCTTTATTTGTCTTTCACTCTTCTGCTGGTTCTGTTCTGGTAGCACAACAGAAGCATATTTTTTTTATATTTATTTATTTATTTATTTATTTATTTATTTATTTAGAGACGGAGTCTCACTTTGTTGCCCAGGCCAGGCTGGCTGAATCTCAGCTCACTGCAACCTCCACCTCCTGGGTTCAAGGGATTCTCCTGCCTCAGCCTCGCAAGTAGCTGGGATTACAGGCATGCGCCACCACCACACCCAGCTAATGTTTGTATTTTTAGTGGAGATGGGGTTTCACCATGTTGGCCAGGCTGGTCTCAAACACCCGATCTCAGATGATCCACCAACCTTGGCCTCCCATAGTGCTGGGATTACAGACATGAGCCACCATGCCCAGCCCAGAAGCATATTTTAAAACACAACCCAGGCTAGGTGCGGTGGCTAATGCCTGTAATCCCAGCACTTTCAGCAGCGGAGGCATGGTGAAACCCTGTCTCTACTAAAAATTTTTAAAAATTGGCTGGGTGTGGTGGCACATGCCTGTAACCCCAGCTACTCGGGAGGCTGAAGCATGAGAATCGCTTGAGCCCAGGAGGCGGAGGCTGCAGTGAGCCAAGATTGCACCACTGCACTTCAGCCTGGGTGACAGAGTGAGACTCCATCTCAAAAAAAAAAAAAAACCACACACAACCCAGGCTGGCCACGGTGGCTCACACCTGTAATCCCAGCACTTTGGGAGGCTGAGGCAGGCGGACTGCTTGAGCTCAGGAGTTCAAGACCAGCCTGGCCAACATGGTAAAACCCTGTCTCTACAAAAAATAAAAAAAAATCCAAGTGTTGGTGGCTCACGCCTGTAGTCCCAGCTACTTGCCAAGCTGAGGCGGGAGGATTGCTTGAACCTGGGAGGTGGAAGTTGCAGTGAGCCAAGATCGCACCGTGCACTCCATGCACTCCAGCCTGGGCAACAGAGTAAGACCCTGGCTCAAAAAAAAAAAACCCACAAAAAAACAAAACCAAACAACCCAGGTCCAGGTCCTCCTTGATTTCTCAAGCAAACCTGTTTCTCAGAAACAAAAGTTTCAAGGCATAAGCCTCACTGTTTTCTTATCTTATGGGTCTTCATTCAATTTATCTACCTCCACCCGCAAAGAAGCATATCTCCTATACAATAAGGGCCCTGTTCTTTTCATTTGTTTTCACTAATAAAATATACCCCCATTCTATGGGTAAAGCCAGAGTCTGAGCTCTCCAAATGCTAAACCGTGATCAAAGTTCATGCAATTCACAAATCAAAGTCAACTTGCCCAGCCGCAAGTGTTGCTTAAAGAGGTATTACAAAAAGCAAAAATCTACCCGCCGGAGTCTACAGGTTGGTAAACTAAAGTTCTGCCCTTTTGAAGGTAAGCCTGCTCTGGGACAGAAAGACTTTTCCCCCAATAATCGAATCCCTGTCCCGCCTGCCTGCTGAGGTCAAGGCTGTACTCACATGAGTTAGGTCAAGGCCTGCCCTAGAGGCCCTTGTACTCAGGCTCCAGCCAGTTAAAATCCTGTGGAACCACTGTAACTGTCACAAACTACCCAGGTCAGGAACACACTTGACCCGTAATTACCTTTAAGCCTGGAGCCCTGACAACACCAGAAATTTGATCTCCACAGGACTGCCTCTCAAAGTTTTCTAAAGAAAATATGTAAATTAACATGTTGGGGTTTCATGGGGCTGATAATTAATTGCACCCTCCTTAGCCTTTCCAAATTCCAAATCCACTGAGAAAAAGATATATGAATCAGGAAACTAGAGCTCTAGAGTTTGTTTTCTGGATAAGGCTGATTGGAGAATGTGGCTTTAGTGGTGCATGCAATTTCCCTCTGGATTAAACTAATTTACCCAGCCACAGGCTGGGTTACTGCAAATGTCTTTCACAGGGACAGGCTCCTCATGGTGAAGGAGGAAAACAGCAGTGTCTAAAGGTCAGGCCATAGCAAAAAGAAAAAAAGAGAAAGGGACCAGGCAACAAACTCAGCATCTTCTCCCAAACCCACTATTAGGCAAATCACTCCTCACTCATGGAGGTACCAGAGAAAGGGATGAGTTTTCCTTCAGTAGCTTCTCTATTGAAAAGCGGAAGTTCCCTCTCTGCTTATATAAGTAAGTAGAGGATAAGTTCCCTTCAAACAGTTGCTTTTGGTTTCGGGATTTGTTTTTGATTTAGTAACTGTAGTCATGGTACTTGGATCACGTGATGTGTTTGTTAGAATTCACTGCATTACAAGGCAAAATCAAAGTGGCTAAAGCAACATAGGGAACTCATATTAGTTCAGAGACTGATCCTCCCTCAGGCAAAGCTGGATTCAGGGTTTGATTGACATTTACCAGGCCTCTGTTTCTTACCATCTCTAGGCTCTGCTTCTCTCTGTATTGACTTCATTCTCAGGCTGGTTCTTCCCAAGTATCAGCAAAAATGGCCATCAGACCGGGTACGGTGGCTCACACCTGTAATCTCAGAACTTCGGGAGGTTGAGATGGGCAGATCACTTGAGTTCAGGAGTTCAAGACCAGCCTGGCCAACATGGTAAAACCCCATCTTTACTAAAAATACAAATATTAGCCAGGCGTGGTGGCAGCTGCCTGTAATCCCAGCTACTTGGGAGACTGAGGCAGGAGAACTGCTTGAACCCGAGAGGCGAGGTTGCAGTGAGCCAAGATCGCACTAATGCACTCCTGCCTGGGCAACAGAGCAAGACTCCATCTCAACAATAACAACAACAACAAAAGAAAAGAAAAAAATGGCCATCAGCAGCTCCAAGCTTGCATTCTACCAGCTTAGAAACAAACCTTGGTGATAATTTCTCCTTCCTAACACTTTCAGCAAAATCCCATAATGAAGTTTCCTTGGTCTGGCTTGGGTCATGTGCCTTCTCTCTGGACCAACCACTGCTAGCAACAGAATATAATGCTGTGATTGGCCAGACCTAGGCCACATGTTCATCCTTGGAGCCCTGGTCCAGTTCCACATAAACTGCATGAACCTAGGGGGTGTTGGATTGTTCCTCCAAGGAAAATCAAAATACAATAATCAGAGAAGCAGGAGAATGGATTCTAGGGGGGAAAAACATGACCATCACACATGACGCAAAGCAAGATGAGTTAAAGGGAAAGAACAGCCAAAGGTTAGTGACTTCGAAAGGGCTTTGCAGTGAAGGCATTAAGTGTCTCAGGGACACTTCTCCAGTTCAGCCCAGCTCTGCCTAGCGAGTTGAATATATTACTCAACGCTTTCTTCAGCTTGTTGCTTGTTACATGTGATTTCCCAGGTTCTTGTATTCAACAGCATTCACTTGTTAGGTTATTTATTTAGCACCTATTATATGCCAGACATTATTTTGGACACCATATAAAGTCTTTTTTTTTTTTCTTTTTTATACAAGGCCTCACTCTGTTGCCCAGCCTGGAGTACACTGGTATGATCACAGCTCATGGCAACTTCCACCTCCCCTGGCTCAGGTGATTCTCCCATCTCAGCCTCTTGAGTAGGACTACAGGTGTATGCCACCACACCTGGCCAGTTTTTGGGTTTTTTTTTTTTTCTTTGTACAGACAGGGTCTCATTATATTGTCCAGGCTGGTCTTGAACTCCTGGCCTCAAGTGATCCTCCTGCCTCCGCCTCCCAAAATACTGGGATTACAGGCGTGAGCCACTGCATCTGGCCTAAAGTCATGAATAAAACAGACAAAATTTCCTGCTCTCGTGGCATTTATCATTTAGTCAGGGAGGAGACAAACATTCAACAAAATAAATAAGCACTATGTGTTATGAAGAAAAATGCAGATGGCACTATTGGGTGATTTAAATAGGTGATCAGGCCAGGCACGGAGGCTCATGCCTGTAAATCCAGCACTTTGGGAGGCCGAGGCAGGTAGAACACGAGGTCAGGAGGTCGAGACCATCCTGGCCAACATGGTGAAACCCCATCTCTACTAAAATACAAAAAAAAAATTTGCTGGGCGTGGTGGCATGTGCCTGTAGTCCCAGCTACTCAGGAGGCTGAGGCAGGGGAATCACCTGAACGCAGGAGGTGGAGGTTGCAGTGAACCGAGATCACGCCATTGCACTCCAGCCTGGCCACAGAGCAAGACTCTGTCTCAAAAAAAAAAAAAAAAAGTGATCAGAGAAGAGGATGCAGGCCAGGTGTGTGGTGGCTCACACCTGTAATCCCAGCACTTTGGGAGGCTGAGGTGGGCAGATCACTTGAGGCCAGGAGTTTGAGATCAGCCTGGCCAACATGGGAAAACCCTGTCTGTACTAAAAACACAAAAATTAGCCAGGCATGGTGGCACACGCCTGTAGTCTCAACTACTCAGGAGGCTGAGGCAGGAGAATCACTTGAACTCGGGAGGTGGAGGTTGCAGTGAGCTGAGATCGCATGACTGCACTCCAGCCTGGGCAACAATGTGAGACTCTGTCTCAAAAAAAAAAAAGAGAAGAGGATGCGGATGCAGGCAAAACACATGGTACATGCTTAACCCATGGGCTCCATTGCTCTTATTCTTGTTATTATCATTACCACTATTATTATTTGGCATATTAAAGGCATTTGGTGACCCCTTGCTGTCTCCAGCATTAAGTAGCCTCAGCTTAGCATATAAGACCCCCTGCATTAGGTCCTAAATTCTTCTTATTATTTTTTTGAGACAGAGTCTCACTCTGTCGCCCAGGCTGGAGTGCAGTGGCATGAACTTAGCTCACTGCAACCTCCGCCTCCTGGGTTCAAGTGATTCTCCTGCCTCAGCCTCCCGAGTAGCTGAGATTACAGGCGCCCACCACTACACCTGGCTAATTTTTATATTTTAGTAGAGACAGGGTTTCACCATATTAGCCAGGTTGGTCTCGAAATCCTGACCTCAGGTAATCCGCTCACCTCGGCCTCTCAAAGTGCTGGAATTACAGGCATGAGCCACCATGCCTGGCACTAAATTATTTTTTAATTGAGATATAAATCACATAATATTCATCCCCCCACCCCGTTTTTTGAGACAGGGTCTCACTTGTGCTGCCTAAGCTGAAGTGCAGTGGCACGATCACAGTTCACTGCAGTCTTGACCTCCCATGCTCAAGCAATCCTCCCACCTCAGCCTCTCAAGTAGCTGGGACTGTAGATGTGCACCAGTATACTCAGCCAAATTTTTTTTTTAGATGGAATCTCGCTTTGTCGCCAGGCTGGAGTGCCGTGGCGCAATCTTGGCTCACTGCAACCTCTGATTCCCTGGTTCAAGTGATTCTCCTGCCTCAGCCTCCCTAGTAGCTGGGATTACAGGCACGGGCCACCATGCTTAGCTAATTTTTTCTGTATTTTTTAGTAGAGACGGGTTTTCACCATGTTGGCCAGGATGGTCTCGATCTCCTGATCTCGTGATCTGCCCGCCTCAGCCTCCCAAAGTGCTGGGATTACAGGAATTTTTTGATTTTTTATTGAGAAGAGGTCTCACTATGTTGCCCAGGCTGGTCTTGAACTCCTGGACTCGAGCAATCCTCCTGCCCCGGCCTCCCAAAGTGCTGGGATTACAGGCATGAGCCACCATGCCCGGCCATATTCACCTTTTTAAAGTGTATAGTTCAGCGATTATTCATATATTTATAAACTTGTGCAACCATTGCCACTATCTACTTCCAGAATATTTTCACCACTCCAAATAGAAACCCTGTACCCATGAGCAGTCACTCCCCATTTGTCCCTTCCCCAAGTCCCTGGCAACCACTAATCTACTTTCTGTCTCTATGGATTTGCCTATTCTGGACATTTCATATAAATGGAATCATACAGTATGTGGTATTTTGTGTCTGACTCCTTAAAATACTGCTTTTGTTTGTTTTAGAAATGGGGTCTCACTACATTGTCCAGGGTGGAGTGCAGTAGCAATTCACAGGCTCCATCCTGACACTCTATAACCTTAGCCTCCCAGGTAACTGGGACTACAGGCACTTGCCAGCTTGCCCAGCTCTTAGCCTCACCATTTTTTTTTTTGAGACAGGGTCTCACTCTGTCACCTAGACTGGAGTGCAGTGGCATGATCTTGGCTCACCGCAACCTCCGCCTCCCAGGCTCAAGTGATTCTCTTGCCTCAGCCTCCCGAGTAGCTGGGATTACAGGTGCACGCCACTACCGCCCGGCTAATTTTTGTATTTTTAGTAGAGATGGGGTTTCACCATGTTGGCCAGGCTGGTCTGGAACCCCTGACCTCAAGTGATCCACCCGCCTTGGCCTCCCTAAGTGCTTGGATTACAGGCGTGAGCCACTGCACCTGGCCCAGCCCCACCATTTATTATTATTCGTTTTTCAGATCCTAAGGTTGCATTGCTCTTCTCCAATCACATTCTGCATTCATTGAATATCCTTTTCCTCCTCTTGAGCTGGTTATGCCGCATGACAGACAGAGAGACTTGTCTGTCCGTTCAGGCCTCTCACAAATGTCATGTCTTTGTGAAGTGCCCCAGGTGTTCTCTAACCCCAGAGGGTCTCATTTCCCCTTCCCAGACCCCTCCTTTATTTCAGCTTGTGGTGCTTATTATTATTTTATTTATTTACTTTGAGCCAGAGCCTTGCTCTGTTGCCCCAGCTGGAGTGCAGTGGCGTGATCTTGGCCTATTGCAACCTCTACTTCCCGGGTTCAAGTGATTCTCCTGCCTTAGCCTCCCAACTAGCTGGGATCACAGGCGTGCACCACCATTCCCAGCTAATTTTTGTATTTTTAGTAGACCCAGGGTTTCGCCATGTTGGCCAGGCTGGTCTCGAACTTCTGACCTCAAGTGATCCACCCCCCACTCGGCCTCCCAAAGTGCTGGGATTACAGGCATTAGCCACCGCACCCAGTCTGTTATTATTATTTTAATACATTTACTTAATTTTAACCTTCCTACTGCACTGTGACTGCCACAAAATCACTGATTTTTTTTATCCTTAGCCTAGAGACTTGAACATAATAAGTGCTCAACAAATATTTGCTCATTTGCATGGCATTGCCGTAATACAGTGGCTCTAAATCAGGGAGCAATTTTGCCCCCCAGGGGACATTTGGCAATATCTGGAGACAGTTTTGGTTGTCCTGGGGGCACAGAGGTGGCATGCTTCTGGCTTCTAGTGGGTAGAGGCCAGGGATGCTGCTAAGCCCCCTCCAACGCATGCACAGGACAGCCCTAACAGCAAAGAATCATCCTGCCCAAAATGTCAATAGTGTCAAGCTTGAGACACCTTGCTGTAAGCTAATTAGTGCTCATTGTGAATAGGTTAGCAAAAAGGAACCCAAAGAGATCAACCTACCAGTCTGGCAGAAAATCTCACTAGGAAATGTCATGCCTTCTTTTTGTTGTTGTTGTTTGTTTGGTTTTTTTAGGAGCGGAGGCTGACTTTAGTGCAAAGCTCTTTCCTAATGTCATAGAGGTGCCCTGGGAGCCCAGATGGTATTTTCACCACACTTGTTCACCTTTAAGAGTGGCAACTGACCTCTCAGGAATCCCTGAAGTGCTAGGAATGTAACTCTGTTAAGGAAGAAAATCCAGGCCTTTTTAAGTCCAACAAAATGTCAAACGTGAATTGTGTTCCTGGGAGAAGGAACGGGAAGGGAGGTGTTTTGTAAAGTACCCTCTCCTGGCTTCCCCCATGGTGATGAAACTTCAGAGCTGGCTCTGGAATAAATGATTCAAGAGAACCCGAGGCCCTATCTCCTGTTCCTTTAAAACTTGCAAAGGAGCTTTGAGAAGGATTCTGTTCGCCACGTGCTTCTGTGGGCAACTCATTTGCAGGAAACTCACTTGCAGGAAATTCATTTGCCGGAAACTCAAGGCACTGGTATCACTTAATCATGAAAACAGCAGCCCCATCGGAGCAGAAGTTACTGGCTTTAGAGTCACATTTTAGGTTCCTACTCATCCCATCAAACCAGTTCTTGTGACTGACATGGAAATTAGGTAATATATGCCCTGAAAAGGAAAAGTAGGAGCAGTCTGAAGGAGTTTGACGAGGCAAGAAATAGGGTTGACATGCTATTTTAAAAAGTTTGTCCTTGGGGTAGAATTACCTGCCAGACTGACTGGGATCTGGTAGTGGTATGTGTACTTGAAAGAGCTACCTTTAGCACAGCTGGCAGCAATATAAATGCCAAGTAGAGGATTCCGAGAGGCACTACCCCCTCTTCTGGGCACTCTCCAATTCTTGTGCCATTAAAAAAAAGGAAGGTGTGAATGCATTATTGTCATTACTATACCATTTATCCAGTAAATGAACATTTTCTGGGTTCTGTATATTTGACAAAATGCCACTACGTGAAGTCATTTCTTCCGTCCAATTTTGATGAAAGCTCTTAAAGACAGAAACATATATATAGACAGTACTTGGCACACTGTGAACTGCAAAAGTGTTTAATGATGACAGTAATTAGGATAACGGAATAATATGTGTTGAGTTGATAGTTGGCAGCATTTTAAATATATTAAGAAAGCATAAAAAAGGACCATTTAAAAACGAGGTGGGAATCCCCAAAGTAACAATGGTCTTGTTAAAAGTGAACTAGAAAAAGACTGCTGTTTCTGAGAAATATATGTTTCAATCAAACTAAAAATTACTCTAAATTGAATTACTTGCCCCAAAGCTCATTTTCTGTTGTTTGTGAACCCCATTCACTCAATCATTCCTGTATTCAACAAACATGACTTTCTTTTATCATTTGTGTTCTTATTCCATTACTCCTTCCTTTTTTTTTTTTTGAGATGGAGTCCAGCTCTGTCTCCCAGGCTGGAATGCAGTGGCGCTGTCTCGGCTCACTGCAACCTCTGCCTCCCAGGTTCAAGCGATTCTCCTGTCTCAGCCTCCTGAGTAGCTGGCATTACAATCGTTTGTCACCAAGCCCAGCTAATTTTTTTTTGTATTTTCAGTAGAGACCATGTTGGCCAGGCTGGTGTTGAACTCCTGACCTCAAGTGATCTGCCCACCTCGGCCTTCCAAAGTGCTGGGATTACAGGTGTGAGCCACCACGCCCAGCCCATTATTCCTTCTTTTATTCCACAGACATTTACACACTCTCCTACTGTGTGCCAGGCATTGCTTTAGATTCTAATAATTGAGCAGCAAATGATCCTTGTCCTTGGGAAACTTAGAATCTAGTGAAATATTCATTCATTCTTTCATTCATTCACATATTTACTGGGTGCTCACGTGTTCTGGGGATACAGCAACAGAAAACACAGGACCCTCAGGTAAACGAATTACATTCCAAAGGGTAGAAGCGAAAGCAAGGGCAAAGGTCTTGAGACAGCTGTGAGCATGGCTAGAGGCCAGTTAGCAAAAGGGACATGACACCATCTGTGTCCCCTCCCACTCTGATAGGGACACATAACATTTTCTCAATTTTTCCTAAAAGACTACAAAAAGTCTCTTCTTTCCAAACAGTTTGCCGCCCTAAATCCTTCCAGTATATTACTTGGGGAGGTGTCACTAGATCTGTGTACCTCTGTTTCTCATTATGTGACTCCATTCTGGTTTCTTGCAGGTTTTTGTTTAAAGGAATGGTGGCGTTATTTATTTAAAACAGGCTTTAAAAGATACGGTTAAAACAGGGTAGAAAACCCTCACGTGGCCCACCTGCAATTCCTACTAACTTAACATAGGTCCCGCGTCTGAGGAATCCCCCTAGGTCCTAAATCTTTGGCAGCCAAGTCAAAAGTGACTACGACTCCGGGACTATAATTCCCAAGAGACACTGCGTCCGCACCCTCTGCGCATGTTCAACCTTGGTGACTGCATAAGGCAGCGAGCCCAAGGGGCTGGGCTTGGGCCTGAGCGGTGAATCGGGGCGGGGCTAGGGGCAGGGCCAGGGAGGGGGCGGTGCTGCCGGCACCGCCCGGAACACGCTAGTGGAGCGGAAGATGGCGGCGGCGGCGGCGGCCGCTGCAGCCGGGACTTCAGTTGGGCTGAGGCGGAGGAGCCGCCGCTTCTGACCTCGCTCTGGCTCCGGTGCGCGCGGCTGAGCGCGTGCGAGGCCCCGCGCGTCGGGCAGGGGCGGCGGCGGCCACTGCGCGCCGCCCTGAGGAGCGCCCCAGCGGCGGCGCGACTGCGGCTGAGGAGAGAGCCGGCTCCGGGCCTCCGCGTCCTCCTGCTCCCCCGGCCCCCCGCCTCCTCGGGGGGGCGGCGGCGGCGATGTTCTCGGTCCTCTCGTACGGGCGGCTGGTGGCCCGCGCCGTGCTCGGCGGCCTCTCGCAGACCGACCCCAGGGCCGGCGGCGGCGGCGGCGGCGACTACGGACTGGTGACGGCCGGCTGCGGCTTCGGGAAGGACTTCCGTAAGGGCCTCCTCAAGAAGGGCGCGTGCTACGGGGACGACGCGTGCTTCGTGGCCCGGCACCGTTCCGCGGACGTGCTCGGTGAGTCCCCGACCCGGTTCCCTTGCCCCAGCCTCGGATCCGCCTCCCGGGGACTCCCCGCGCGGGGCTTCCCCAGTTCCTCCCGGCGGCGAAAGGAGCCAGAGCGCTCACATGGAGGGAGCGCTTACTATGCGCCAGGCGCCGTGCCAAGCGCTCCGAGGCGCGTTTTCCGCTTGAACGACCCCCATTTTAGAGAGGAGGAAACTAAGGCGCACAGCGGTCAAGTCGTGTGCTCAAGGTCACAACCCGAGAGTGTGACCGGTCTGTCCGAGTCCAGAGCCACACTCTCGGTCTCACTCGGCCGTGCCAGCCCTGGGCGACCTCGTCCCCTCCCTGGGCGACACCTGCAGGCTCCTAACCTCGTTCTGGTTCCCTCTCCGCATGCCCCGGGGATCCCTGCCTCTTCGCGTGCTCCCGACACCACAGCCCGGCCCAGGCTGCGGGATCGCCGGCCGACAGGCAGTCGTGAGCCCCCAGACAGCCCGGCCGTATTCTTTCGCCGCCTGGATGGTAACCAAATCTTCACCCTTTTCGGAGTGTGGCGGTGGGGGCTGCTGGCTTGGCGAAAAAACCCTCACAGCGTTTTCTCCCAAATTGATCTTGTCCACTTGCGGTCACTTGGGGGTTGGCAGAGTCTCCTTGATCCAAAATAGAATGGTCGAGCCTACTTGTAGATTGCAGCCGGTAAAGCTCTGAGGATTGGTCACAGCCTTTTCAGGCCACAGGTGCTCCCTGAGGCCTATTCCAGTTATACCTTTTGGGGGTGGGAGACTACGGAGAGAGCTGGCAGAAAGGGCTAAATATAGTTCACAAGCAGTCAGAAACTTTACCATAATGTACGCCTTAGGAGATTTTGTGTATGCTATGGGATATTGTGCCGTTAAAACTCTTTGAATGAATAAAGCAATGCGCTCGCTTTGAAATTGAAGGACGTGTTGTCATTGAACTTGGGTTCAAATGTCACTTTGATTTCCCTTCCCAGGTGAGACTAAGTTTTTGGTTACTTTAAATTTCATATGCTGAGGCAGAGTTTGGCATTGGAACAAATGATTCTGTAACTTTTTTATGACAGTAATTATTTTTTAATCTGATCTCAGAATAATTGCCTAGTATCTTTGGTTCTACTACATGTAGTGTTTGTGAACATGGGACTGGAAAGGTTGTTCTCAGTTTAATTTATGAATGACCCCATTACCTGGGTTGAAGAAAAAGCATTTAATGTTTAGGCAACGCTATTGATATTAACATGAGAGGGAGACTTAGAAAGGTCCTGCAGCTTGCAGATTGAAATTGTACAAATCCACCCCGAAGTCAGCTGTCAGTGGCTGTCTTCCCTGATACATTTAGAAGTGCCTCACTCAATGAGCTTGTGACCTGTGCTGCGTTTTTTTTTTTCAGACGGAGTCTACCTCTGTCACTCAGGCTGGAGTGCAGTGGCGCAATCTTGGCTCACTGCAGCCTCCGCCTCCCCGGTTCAAGCGATTCTCCTGCTTCAGCCTCCCGAGTAGCTGGGATTATAGGCGCCCATCACCATGTCCAGCTAATTTTTGTATTTTTAGTAGAGATGGGGTTTCACTGTGTTGGCCAGGCCGGTCTCGAACTCCTGACCTCGTGATCGGCCTCGTGTTCGCCTCGGCCGCCCAAGGTGCTGGGATTACAAGTGTGAGCCTGGCCCCTGTGTTGCTTCTTAAAGTTGTGTTCATAACATAGGATAGGGGATAATGAGCCTCTAAGGTTCACCTCATAAATCTGTATGCTGGGCTGCGCGTGGTGGCTCACTCCTATAATCCCAGCACTTTGGGAGGCTGAGGCGGGTGGATCATGAGGTCAAGAGTTCAAGACCAGACTGACCAATATGGTGAAACCCAGTCTTTACTAAAAATACAAAAATTAGCCGGGCGTGATGGCGCATGCCTATAGTCCCAGCTACTCAACAGGCTGAGGCAGGAGAATCTCTTGAACCAGGGAGGTGGAGGCTTCAGTGAGCCAAGATCGTGCCACTGCACTCCAGACTGGGCGACAGTGCGAGACTCCGTCTCAAAAAAAAAATAAAATAAAAAATCTGTATGCGACTTTTGTGAAAGATCCGTGACTTGATTGATGATTTGGGGAGTATTTAAATGTATCAAATTCTATATGGAAGCTTGATTTTAAAATTTTGGAAGGCTAGACCGGGCGTGGTGGCTCACGCCTGTAATCCCAGCACTTTGGGAGGCGGAGGTGGGCGGATCACCTGAGGTTAGGAGTTCGAGACCAGCCTGGCCAACATGGCAAAACCCCGTCTCTACTAAAAAATACAAAAATTAGGCAGGTGTGGTGGCACACGCCTGTAGTCCCAGCTACTAGCGAGGCTGAGGCAGGAGAATTGCTTGAACCTGGGAGATGGAGGTTGCGGTGAGCCGAGATCACACCACTGCACTCCAGCCTGGGTAACAGAGCAAGACTCCGTCTCAAAAAAAATACAATAAAATTTTGGAAGGCTACCTTCTTAATGGAGTGGGATATTTACAAGAATTGGGGGGATTTTGGTCAAACCCATTCTAAAAAAGTATAAACATAATTTCATGCCCTGACATCCTGGTGGAAATCCAGTGAACTTTGATGCTCAGCTTTGCCACTTAGTAGCTCTGTGATTTGTGGTCTTGGGCAGAGTCTCTCTTGAGTCTCCTTTGGTTTATCTGGACTAGGGGATAAAGGGAATGGACGATCTGACCCTTAGTGACTACAGCTTCTGACCATCATATCACATTTTCTTTTGTTCTTTTCTTTTTTTTTTTTGGTGGGTGGGGGGTGCGGGTATGGAGTTTCGCTCTTGTTGCCCAGGCTGGAGTGCAATGGCGCCATCTCGGCTCACTGCAACCTCCGCCTCCCGGGTTTAAGTGATTCCCCTGCCTCAGCCACCTGAGTAGCTGGGATTACAGGCGCGCGCCATCACGCCCGGCTAATTTTTGTATTTTTAGTACAAACGGGGTTTCATCATGTTGGCCAGGCTGTACTCGAACTCCTAACCCCAGGTGATCCACCAGCCTCGGCCTCCCAAACTGCTGGGATTACAGGCATGAACCACCGCGCCCAGCCCATATTTTACTTTTGCTTTGAATAGATGGCACCCTTTGTTCTGCACCTCAAATGACAGGTGTCACGGGCACCTTCAGTAGATTCCTGTTTTGTATGTAGCACTAAACCAGTGGTTTTTAGCTTTCCTTGATTCACAACCCCTGAGGATCAGGACCCTGTGCACAGAGATAAAATTTTGCATGGGCTCTTAGGAACTTTGCTGACTCCATGACTCCTCTGATACCACCTGGAGGTCCATGCATAGGAATCAGATCAAGAACCCCAGCTCTGTACCCTTGAAGGGAATGCCAGCAGACACAGTCAGATACTGGTAGCTGATGTGACCAAAAGGTGGTTGTTAGCCATGTTTGACAAAGATCAAGCATGCACATATGCAAATGGTGGGGGATAGGGGCAGTGAAGGACAGGTTCTCCAGGACTGTCCTGTTGTGGAGGAGCTCTTCCGGACGGCAGTCTTGGAAGCCACCTGAAATAACTTCATGAGTTGGCCTCATTTGATCCTTGGCTGTCCTGAACCAGTTCATATGATGGTGACTTCTATTTAGTTGATACCGTAAAAGGTGATGACTTTTTTTTTTTTTTGAGATAGAGTCTTGCTCTGCCACCCAGGCTGGAGTGCAGTGGCACGATTTTGGCTCGCTGCAACCTCTGCCTCCCAGCTTCAAGCGATTCTTGTGCCTCAGCCTTCCGAGTAGCTGGGACTACAGGCATGTGCCACCTCACCCGGCTAATTGTTTGTATTTTTTTAGTAGAGATGAGGTTTCGCCACGTTGCCTAGGCTGGTGTCGAACTCCTGACCTCATGTCATCCACCTGCCTCAGCCTCCCAAAGTGCTAGGATTACAGGTGTGAGCCACAGTGTCTGGCTAAGGTGATGACTTTGAATGACTCTTTAATACTGCTGTCAACTCTAGAGGTTGGAGTTACAACCTGAATTACATTAAAAGGCTATGTTGAGTAATAACGTTACGTTGAACTTAAGTGCTTTTGAACCTTTTGGTTCTGTAGATAATTAATTTTCTTTGAATTGACACCATATTTATTACTGAGTATCCGTGTAACAGATTATTCACTGTGGTCATCTAGGACTCCTTGACTGGAATGAAAGCTGTTTCTTTCTTTTTATATGAGAAAGAGAAATCTCTTTTGTTTCTTTAATTTAAAATTGATCTGTCCTATTAGTCATGCAGTGACTAATAGTGCTTGGTGCTTCACAACATTTTGTATAGTCCCCACTGTATTTCGTTTCGGAAAAACTGACTATGTTGGGTGTGGTGAGACATAGGAACCACTCCTATCATTCTCTAGAAAATTGTCAAAGGTGCTTTCTCTTTACTAGGTCCAACAGGAGTAAACCAGTACTAGCGGGAGCCGTGTACACTTTTCTTGTTCCTTCTTCCCTGTGGCTAATTCTGAGTTCTCTTATTACTCTACGTGGCATGGCTTCCTAGGTGCACAAAAATATGAGAACTGCATGTTGTAATACCTGGGCTTCCCACAGCCTTATGCTACTTAACAATAGAATCAAAGACTGTTGAGAATTGTAACACTTAGAAACCTTGGAGTCTAGTTTTTTTCACCTCACTGATGAGAAAACAGGCCTCCAGAGAGTCAGATGACTTCCCCAAGGTTACTCTACTAGTTATTGGTGGAACTGAGGCTGACACCTATCTCAGTCTCTCATCTGAGACTCCCTTTCCCAGTCCTGTCCCCGTTAGACCACTGGTCAAGTTTTCTTGATGATATATGTGAATTAAAAACCAGTCAGTCTCCTGATACTTTTGTGCTTCGAATGCTTTTCCTGGGTGTGTGTGTGTGTGTGTTTATAACTTCTTTATTCACTCTGACTCATAACTGATGTGCAACAAAAACTCCTCTGCATGCTAAACCACAGTTTAGAGAAACCACTTATTTTAAAAATGGCAGCCTGGTCTGTGCCATATAAATTTTGACCTCTGAATATTGAGTTGTAAAGTATTTATTATGAAACTGTGGGATGTTTATTTAAGCTTAAACTTGAAACCTAAAAGTGAAATTAAAATAATTTCATATCCCAGCCTTTGGATCTGATTTTGATCGTGGTCAGGATTTTGAAGTGTTTTTGTGAGTAATGTCAGTCTTAAAAGTAGTTGTCTTGAGGTGTAAAGATCATATGAACAAAATTAAGATCTAAATTATATTTAGGAAGTGAATGGATGAGGTAGAATTTGGTGTTTTCAAACAGTCATGATCATTTTAATGTACTTATAGAACCTCTATTCTGAAAGTGAGTTGTCCTTTTAAAAAAGTAGTCACCTTCAGAGTGTGTGTGTGCACCCACTGACTTCAGTCTTTCAAGAAGTCCTTGTTGGAATTTTCCTCAGCTAGATTTCAAGCCATGTCAGGACACCACTCTCATTATATTACCATAATTTTTTTTTCTTTTTTTTTTTAATTTTACTTTTTTTAAATTCCAGGATACATGTGCAGGACATGCCATAATTTTCTTAAAGTCAGATTCCAGCATCATCTACCTGTTGATAGCAAATATGACCCTGAGTGAATTTTTTTTTTTTTTTTTTTTTTGAGACAGAGTCTCGCCCTTGTGCCCAGGCTGGAGAGCAGTGGCGCGATCTTGGCTCACTGCAACCTCTGCCTCCTGGGTTCAAACAGTTCTTCTGCCTCAGCCTCCCAAGTAGCTGGGATTACAGGCACCCACCATTACACCTGGCCAATTTTTATATTTTTAGTAGAGACGGGGTTTCACCATGTTGGCCAGGCTAGTCTCGAACTCCTGACCTCAGGTGATCCACCTGCCTTGGCCTCCCAAAGTGCTGGGATTACAGGCGTGAACCACGTGCCCAGCCCCTTGAGTGAATTTTTAAAAACTGATATGTATAATTCACATTCCATAGCATGTATCCTTTTAAAGTGTACAGTTCAGTAGTTTTTACATTCACAAAGTTGTACAGCCACTGCCACTATCTAGTTCCAGAATGTTTTTCATCACCCCCCAAGAAACCCCCTATCCATTAGCAGTCACTCCCCATCTCCCTGGCAACAGAAAGCAGATTCTGTCTGTGGATTTGTGTTTGAGACATTTCATACAAATGGATCGTGTAATATGTGGCCTTTTCCTTAGCATGTTTTCCCTTAGCATGTTTTCAGAGTTCATCCATGTTGGAGCATGTGTCAGTACTTCCTCCCTTTTTATGACTGAATAATGTTCCATTATATTTATATACCACATTTTGTTGATCCATTCATCTGTTGATGGCCATCGAGTTGTTTCTACTTTTGGCTATTGTGAATAGTGCTGTGCACATTTGTGTGCAAGCTTTTGTATGGACATGTTTTTAATTTGAGGGGATATATACCTAGGAGTAGAATTGCTGGGTCATATTGTAACCCTGTTTAACTTTGTGAGGAATATAGCTGTTTTTTTATGTAGCTATATAATATTAATATACATATAATTATTTTATATAAGGGAAAATACTTTAAAAATTGCAGCAATCAAATATATAAATTCTGAGATCAATCAGTACTTTAAATATGCCTGATTTCATAATGAGCTGTGTGCTTCCAAGAGAAAATTGTGGAATATTAATAAGGAAGTGTGAGTGGATTTAGTAAAAGAGCCATCTAGGACTAATGAAATAGCAGGGTTTAGGAAGCCATTGACTAGTGGCTTTCTGACTATTCTGAGTGGTCTTTCATTCTGTAATACATAAGATTACAGGGTTGATGGATAGAGGAGGTTTGCTGTTTGCTTTTTAAACTTCTGTTCCTTGGTATTTTTCTCATTTTGCTATATAGGTGTGTTGCAGTTTTATAAGTTACTTATTAAGGTACCTTTATTTTTGAAGTCATTTCTTCATTTGTTATAGCTTCAGAGCTACTTTTCCTTTGTTCACAAATCTTTTGAGATTTTCTAGCTTAGTTTAAAATTTTCCTAACTTACAGTTTATCTCTTGATTTGTTAACAGTCTCTGTAAAGGATTCTGGTTGAATCCTTTTGTAGTGCAAGTAATTGAATTTTAGAAGCATAACTGTTTATTAAGGAGGTTTTAAATTGTAGCAGAAGGTAGATTACAGATGCAAGCTGTTGTGGAGCTTTTTTTTTTTTTTTTTTTTTTTTTTTTGAGGTGGGGTTGCTGCATGGGAGGAGGCTGTACCCTGAACTTTAGCACTGGTTTGTGAAACTGGGCAATACATAACCTGAATTGTTGCAACAGTATCCAAATGGAGTTTGTACTAGTGTGTGACACCAGAAGCACTACACCGGGTTAGAATGTGACCTACAACCATGTCCTTTGAGTAGCTCAAATGCTAAAGTTAAGTTCAAGCTAAATGTCAAATTCATTTTATGTTCCCATGCCTTTTAGAGAGAGGTCTTGCCTGGGGCTTTAGGTTCAGAAGTTTTAGGAAAATGCTTTGCAAAAGTAAGTTAGCAGTATTTTATTTCTAAAGAAATTTGACTTTTCAAACTGGAAGTTTTAGTTTATGAAAAATAATGTGAGTTTGCCTTTCAAAATTAGTTGTTAACTTTTGATCTCTTTTTAAGAAGTGATGTCCTGGATCCTAATTTTTGTTGTTAGTAATAAAATTTATGAGTCTGTCTTGTTTGGGAGTCGTCATATATTTTAAAAACCTGATAGGGGCCGGGCACGGTGGGTCACAACCTATAATCCCAGAACTTTGGGAGGCCAAGGCGGGTGGATCATTTGAGGTCAGAAGTTCAAGACCAGCCTGGCCAATATGACGAAACCCCATCTCCACTAAAAGTTTAAAAAAAAAAAAAAAAAAAGCCGGGCATGGTGGCGAGTGCCTGTAATCCTAGCTACTAGGGAGGCTGAGACATGAGAATCGCTTGAACCTGGGAAGCAGAGGTTGCAGTGACCCGAGATCGTGCCACTGCACTCCAGCCTGGATGATAGAGCCAGTCTCTGTCTCAAAATAATAATAATAATAATCTGATAGGGAGTTTTCTGTCTCCCTGAGAACTAAAATAATTTGTTTCCTAACAGTTCACAAAATTGCATATCATAAATCAAGACTTTTTGTAAAAGCTGACCTATTGCAGAGGGCATTAGGCTAACACACGACTTATTATTCATTTCAACTTGAGTTGACAACTGGCACAGCTCTTTCAATTTAGTTTAAAGTTTTTAAAGAAGAAAAGAGATGCTAAATGTTTTTGAATAAAATCTCTAACAGGAAAAATCCCCAACAGGATTGGGGGTTGAGGATTGGGCAATGGGGAAGGACAGAAGCTTTTCTTTAAGGAGTAAAAATGCTTCATTCTTTTTTTTTTCTAAGCCAGTTGTTTCATATCTGACACAAAACATGATTCTCCCATCCTTCTAGTGCTTTATATAGTGCCTTAGAAGTTGCAAAGCATTTTTATGTTTTACCTTATTTAATCTTTGTAACTACGAAGCTGCTGCTCTTATCTCCACTTAATGTGAATCTGTTTCCTCATCTATAAAACTGACACATCAAGTAAGGGTGGTATAGTTAGTATTATATTGGGACTTGAACCTAGGTCTCTTGCTTGCATGTCTAATGCTTTTAATTTTTTTTTTTTTTTTTTTTTTTTTTTTTTTTTAATTATTGTGGAGACAGAGTCTCTCTGTGTTGCTTGGGCTGGTCTCAAATTCCTGGGCTCCAGCAATCCTCCCACCTCAGCTTCCCAGAGTACTGGGATTTAAGGCATGAACCACGTGCCCAGCCTGTGTAGTGCCTTTATTTATTTATTTATTTATTTAGAGACAGAGTTTTGCTCTTGTTGCCCAGGCTGGAATGCAATGGCACAATCTCGGCTCACCGTAACCTCCGCCTCCCGGGTTCAAGCGATTCTCGTGCCTCAGCCTCCCGAGTAGCTGGGATTACAGGCATGTGCCACCA
The DNA here is from genome assembly GCF_000001405.40 of Homo sapiens. NCBI lineage: Eukaryota > Metazoa > Chordata > Mammalia > Primates > Hominidae > Homo > Homo sapiens. Next base: position 110,573,842 of record NC_000012.12, on the reverse strand, counting down.
CACCCGACTAATTTTGTATTTTTAGTAGAGACGGGGTTTCTCCATGTTGGTCAGGCTGGTCTTGAACTCCCAATCTCAAGTAATCTGCCCGCCTCGGCCTCCCAAAGTGCTGGGATTACAGGTGTGAGCCACCGTGCCTGGCCTGTGTAGTGCTTTTAAATAAATGGATGTTTAGTGCTTATAAAAGTAACACATCTTCAGAAAAGTACCATATAAAACACCTATAAATCATAACTCAGCTATAGTAAGCTATAGTCATTGTGGTTCCCTCTAGCCTTTGTGTATATAATTGTATACATGTTATTAAAAAACAGAATACATGTTGGATTAATATGCATCCTACTCTGTAAAGCTTTTAAAAAGTTGCAACAGTGTGCAAATGGAGTTTTTAATAGTGTGTGACTCCAGAAGCATGCTGGAGTGCATGTTTCCATACTGGTAAGCATAACTGCATCATATTCTCCTGCATGTATAGCCCATCAGTTACTAAACCAGTCCTCTATTTGTAGTTATTTAGGTTGTTTCCAATTTTCTGTTATAAATAACACTAGAATGAGTATCTCTTTACATCTGAATATTTCCTCAGGGTAATTCCTTGAAGAGGAATTCCTGGGTCAAAGCCTATGAGCATTTGCAAGGCCTTTGATATAAAGATGACCATAGGGCCGGACGTGGTGGCTCACGCCTATAATCCCAACACTTTGGGAGGCCAAAGTAGGTGGATCACTTGAGGTCAGGAGTTTGAGAGCAGCCTGGCCAACATGGTGAAACCCCGTCTCTACTGAAAATACAAAAATTAGCTGGGCGTAGTGTCGGGCGCCTGTAATCCCAGCTACTCTGGTGGTTGAGGCAGGAGAATCACTTGAACCCGGGAGGCGGAGGTTGCGGTGAGCTGAGATCATGCCACTGCACTCCAGCCTGGGTGACAGAGTGAGACTCGTCTCAAAAATAAATAAATAAATAAATAAATAAAAACTTAAAAAAGATTACGATAGGTCCTCCAGAAAGGTTATATATTACTTTCCCAACTGTGGTGAAATTGCTCTCATCAGCAAGCTTATTGTTGATCTTGAGTCTGTCTCACTTAAGAATTTATAAATTTACTAGGTTCCTAAATAGTTGTTTTTGAGGTGAATAAGTTCTAGAATGGATTGAATTGTTGGTATGAATCCTAAGGACTACAAAATGACTGCAAAAACTTTGCCAGAGACTACGAAAGTGACTTTCTACAAAGAGTGCTTTCTGCTGAAGGGCCCAGTACTATTTTTACTTGGTGAATTCCAACACACGTTTGCACTGTTCTCGTATTCATTAACAGAGTATTTTGAAGAGAAAGGGAATTTATTTCTTTTTGGACTACTCTGTACATTGTTATCTTTTTTGTTTTTTGTTTTTTGTTTTTAAGACGGAGTCTCACTCTGTCACCCAGGCAGGAGTGCAATGGCGTGGTCTTGGCTCACTGCAGCCTCCACCTCCCGGGTTCAAGCGATTCTCCCTCAGCCTCCCTAGTAGCTGGGACTACAGGCACATGCCACCACACCCGGCTAATTTTTGTATTTTTAGTAGAGATGGGGTTTCACTATGTTGGCCAGGCTGTTCTTGAACTCCTGACCTCGTGATCCACCCACCTTGGCCTCCTAAACTTCTGAGATTACAGGTGTGAGGTGAGCCACTGCACCTAGCCACGTTGTTATCTTTCAAGGATGCTGTTATCTAGCAAGTTTTTTGACTTACCAAAATTAGTCTATGCTGTCATTTGAGGTAAATGCAAAAGGTTGGCTGGGCTGAATGAGGCAAACAAAAAGTGCTTCTGTTTTCATATCTGCTATGTTTGAATAGCAATTTGGGGCAAGAAAATAAGATTTAAGCTATTTCCATAAGAGCTAGAAAACTGTTTATGGCCTCTAGGTTGACCACTAATTGGTGATGGAACCATTAGTGTTTCTATGAAATTAGAAAGTCTAAATAAGGATGCCTTATGTATGCATTGTTCTTAGAAATCCATTTCTCTTGGTTTTGAAAGGCCATTTTGATCCTGTCATTTTTTTCTTATTACAATACACAATTCACCAAACAATCAATGGTCTTTGAATAACAAGGTTAGTATGTTTTGTGGATGCCTGAAGCTCTTTAGTATGAAACCCTATATAGGCTATGTTTTTTCCTGTACATTCATACACACCTGTGATAAAGTTTAATTTATAAATTAGGCACAGTTAGAGGTGAGCAGCAATAATTACTGTACAATTCTATACATGAGTATTTATAGATCATTTGACTTCGTGAAGTCAATTAATACTGTAGGGGCAACCCACCCCTACATCTGGGATTTTTTCCTTGTGTTGTCATTACAATCTATTAAACAGCTTCCAGGGGCATCAGAAACTGAAATGCTATCTTCTTCTGTTTGAAATGGTTCTAAAGCTGCTTTAATAATGGCCCAATCATTCCATACTGTAAGTGGAATGATATTACCCTTCCTACCTGCTTGTTTTAGTTCCTTACCAATTCTTTTCCAATCTTTTAGATCTAAAGTTCCTTGTTCTGGAAACCATGGGCAAAATTGTTCTATTATTTGAAATAGCTTGATTAGATTTTTTGTAGATACTTTAACTCCCCCTCTTTTTAAAAGAATTTTAATAAAGCTGAGATAAGAGGCATATTTACTTTTAATTTTACTTTTAGTTTGCCCCATTATCACCCTAGCTTCTTCCGAGTGCACAAGCTTACCGTAAGGCTGACTGTAGACGTCCTCGGGATCTCTCGTCGACTTGTCCTCAATGACCACGCTCGAGCGTACCTTCACCCTAGAGAAAAGCCCCACGTTGGGCGCCAGATGTAGGGGTGGGTTGCCCCTACACACCTGTGGGTGTTTCTCGTAAGGTGGGACGAGAGATTTGGAAAAGAAAAATACACAGAGACAAAGTATAGAGAAAGAAAGAAGGGGACCCGGGGAACCAGCGTTCAGCATATGGAGGATCCCGCCAGCCTCTGAGTTCCCTTAGTATTTATTGATTATCTGTGGGTGTTTCTCAAAGAGGGGGATGTGTCAGGGTCACAAGACAATTGTGGGGAGAGGGTCAGCAGACAAACACGTGAACAAAGGTCTTGGCATCATAGACAATGTAAAGGATTAAGTGCTGTGCTTTTAGATATGCATACACATAAACATCTCAGTGCTTTACAAAGCAGTATTGCTGCCCGCAGGTCCCACCTCCAGCCCTAAGGCGGTTTTTCCCTATCTCAGTAGATGGAGCATACAATCGGGTTTTATACCGAGACATTCCATTGCCCAGGGACAGGCAGGAGACAGATGCCTTCCTCTTGTCTCAACTGCAAGAGGCATTCCTTCCTCTTTTACTAATCCTCCTCAGCACAGACCCTTTACGGGTGTCGGGCTGGGGGACGGTCAGGTCTTTCCCTTCCCACGAGGCCATATTTCAGACTATCACATGGGGAGAAACCTTGGACAATACCTAGCTTTCCTAGGCAGAGGTCCCTGCGGCCTTCCGCAGTTTTTGTGTCCCTGGGTACTTGAGATTAGGGAGTGGTGATGACTCTTAAGGAGCATGCTGCCTTCAAGCATCTGTTTAACAAAGCACATCCTGCACCGCCCTTAATCCATTCAACTCTGAGTTGACACAGCACACGTTTCAGAGAGCATGGGGTTGGGGGTAAGGTTATAGATTAACAGAATCTCAAGGCAGAAGAATTTTTCTTAGTACATAACAAAATGGAGTCTCCCATGTCTACTTCTTTCTACACAGACACAGTAACAATCTGATCTCTCTTGCTTTTCCCCACAAATACTAATTTATAACCATCTTTGTTGTTGTTGTTGTTGTTCCAGGATCTTGTGCTTGGCCATCATCTTTTATTCTTTTATTAGGATTTCAGATTGAAAAGTGGTTGAGGTGTTTGTTAGTGGCTTTAAGAAAAACTTTGCCAACATTTTAGTTAGGTGTTTAAAACTAAAGTGAAAGGACAAGGGGCACTGTTTCCACTCTCTAAATCATTATTGAAACTTCACTGGAAATATACATGTGGCAGTGCAATAAGGACAAGAGATAAATTGGGAAGCCAGAAATGAAGGCTTTGTTTCAAAACTAGTTCATGCAGTAAATGTAATATTGTATGTGAAATGCAAAGTATAGCCCTATTTGTTTTGTTTTCTTTTCCTAAGTGAATGAAGACAGGATAGCCTTATTTGTTAGCCTTTGTTTATAAAGTTTCTTAAACTGGCTCTTTTTTTCCTGCAGTGTGACTTATAAGTCCCACAGTCTTGGATCCGAGAAAGGGACTCTAGAGAGACTGTGTCTTCCTGCCCCTCATTTCACAGATGAGGAAACTAAAGCTTAGAGAAACGATCTGACCAGTGTCTTAGGTCCAGTTAGTGGCAAAGAAAGTTGGGAGCAGTGTTATCTCCAGACTTTTCTTTAATGCTCTTTCCATCAGCTCAGCCCTCTCTTTCTCTTTTTTTATTTTTATTTATTTTTACTTTTTATTTTTTGAGACAGAGTCTCACTCTGTCGCCCAGGCTGGAGGGCAGTGGTGTGATCTCCGCTCACTTCAACCTCCGCCTCCTGGGTTCAAGCAATTCTCCTTCCTTAGCCTTCCGTGTAGCTGGGATTACAGGTGCCCGCCACCATGCCCGGCTAATTTTTGTATTTTTAGTAGAGATGGGGTTTCACCATGTTGGCCAGGCTGGTCTTGAACTCCAGACCTCAAGTGATCTGTCCACCTTGGCCACCCAAAGTGTTGGGATTACAGGCGTGAGCCACTGCACCTGGCTTTTTTTGAGGGGGGGGGGCGGGGACAGGGTCTTGCTGTGTTGCCCAGGCTGGAGTGCAGTAGCTATTCTCTACACAGGTGTAGTTGTAGTGCACTGCAGCCTCGACCTCCCGGACTGAAGCCATCCTTCTGCCTCAGCCTCTCAAGTAGTTGAGACTACAGGCTTGAGCCACCTTGCCTGGCAGCCTTCTCTTTGAATGGCCTGTTAGAGGAACATCTTGTAGCGAGTTCTGACCCAGGGAATGACACCTTGTGAAACGCTAGGATCCATTACTAGGTTCAATCCCTTTGGAGTTTTTGGCTGAAAGTTTGTATACCAGATATTGGTGTTCTAACTTTTCAGTGTGGTCAGCTGAATTCATTGTTTATTGGTTGCTTCCTATTAGTCCCTGACAGTTGTTTTAAAGACCAATGAACAAAACAGACTTCAACCCTGATGTTTCATAGTCCTGTGGGGAAGGCAAACATGCACAGGACTGGTGTGAAAGAATATGCATGAGGGCCAGGCGTGGTGGCTCACGCCTGTAATCCCAGCACTTTGGGAGGCCGAGGTGGGCGGATCACGAGGTCAGGAGATCGAGACCATCCTGGCTAACATGGTGAAACCCCATCTCTACTAAAAATACAAAAAATTAGCCGGGCGTGGTGGCAGGCGCCTGTAGTCCCAGCTACTCAGGAGGCTGAGGCAGGAGAATGACGTGAACCCGGGAGGCGGAGCTTGCAGTGAGCCGAGATCGCGGCACTGCACTCCAGCCTGGGTGACAGAGCAAGACTCCGTCTCAAAAAAAAAAAAAAAAACGCATGAGATTGTAGGGGCACAACGTCAGGCCTTAAGAGAAGGGTTTTTCAGTAAGCTGAGGCAAATGAGAAGAATGGGAATACTCCAGATTGAGGGCTCAGCAAAGGCAAAGTAGATCCCCAAAACTACAGCTGTTTCATGGCTGGTAGGGTCGGCATAGGGGTCAGTGTTGAGAATTGATGTTAGAAAATAGACTGAGACTAAATTATCATGTTAAGGAATTGGGTGGGTTTTTTGTTTGGTTTGGTTTGTTTTTTGGGGGGTGGGTGGGGAGGAAGCTGTAGAAAGAGGTCTTTGCTTTTGAAGAGGCAGCACATTCAAATGGTACAGAATTTAAAAGGTGTTCAGAATTCAAGAGTGCACAGTGAAGTCTCATCACCCTTGTCTCCAAGCTACAAAGTCCTCTCAAGAGGCAACCAGTACTAGTTTCTGTGTATCCTTCTAAAGAATATTTCACATATACAAGCAAATAAATACATATTACATGGAAGGTATTTGACTAGAGGAGTAACATGGACATTGCAGTGTTGTAAAAAACAAATCGATACAGAGGGTGTAATGGGAGAACAGGAGGCAAAAGACCAGTTACGAAGCTACTGAAATTGTCTGAGCTAGAAAGGGCTTTACCTAGGGCAGTGGGAAGTAGTTGAGCTTCAGACTCATGGTAGGCTTGGTGATAATTGGTCAGAGGATAAAAGAGAAAGAGGAGTGGAAATTGAGTTAGAGGTTTTGCACTTGGAAGATGCCTTAAGGGTTCTAAGCCTGGAAGTATGTATGGGTAGCTGGGCTGCCATTAATTAGGGTGGGAAATGCAAAAGGAAGGATCAAGTTTGGGAACAGAAAATGGGATTGCTTGGTACAAGAGGCATTTTACAGGCAGAACCATCAGGCTTGTGGAATGCTTCCATCCAGCTGGACCATTGATTCTCATTAGAATCGCCTGTGCTGAGAGGCCTAGGCCCACCCTGGCCACACCGATTCAGGGAGTAGGGCTGGGGTTCCATAGGTAATCTCATTGTGCAGCAAGGGTGGGGAATCATTGAGCCAGGTACTAGGCCAGCCAGTGGGGATGAAACAACGGTTAGCTGTGTGAGACTCAGCCCTTTGGAGGCTCACAATGTACAGGGGAAGAAAAGAGAAGGGAAGATCGCTATAAAGGCACTGGTATTATTGTAGTGACGAAGAAAATGGTTAGGCCCATGTATGTATTCCTCATAGTTTTAGGATTTCCCATGTAAAATGAGAAATCTTTGAGTTGGAATCCTGACACAGGAGGCAGCAGGCTCTGAAGTATTTGCTAAGTAAGGTTACTTCAGAGTCCTTCTGGGGAAAATATTCTTTTCAAAGTGCAGGTAAATCCTTTTTTCCTTGTTATTTTTGGAGACAAATATATGTTTATTAGTACTTGAAAATGTTACTATTGAATGTTTAATGGAATATTGAATGGTGGTGGATGTGTGACTGAAAGAGCTGAATGGACTACTTATCTTTTATGCATTATCTCTGAGTGGGCATTGTCTTTTGGTTGTGACCACAGACTAGTGTTTGTAGAGCTGGCAGCCTACAAACATGGGTCAAAGACTCTTTTTTTTCTGATTGCTGCAGTCTAGGCTGGTCTGTTTGCTGCTCGCCAGCCTTTCTTAGAGATAGGCATAACTCTAACTTGCTGAATGTTGGCTGTGAGCGGAGCACTGGTAGATGTTCTGAAGAGGTTATCCTCGTTCCTCACACCGGCCCTGTGAAATCGAGGATACGACTCCATTCACAGGTGAAGCTACTGAAGCTCAGAGAGCTGCCCAAGGCCATGCTTAGCACATCTTGTTCTGGGGCTGGAGTTTGAACCCAGATCTGCCTCCAGAGCCTGTGTCCTTGCTCAGTATCCCACACTGCCTTTCCAGTTAGAAAAGATCATTTTAGATTTTCTTTTAGGGAGGTGATTTTGGCTGATTGTGACTTCTACTTAGTTATTAGCTATTGCTTTTGTTTTAATTAAGGGGTTTTGCTTAACTGTTAACTATTAGTTAAAACAAAAACTTAACAAGCCTTGTTGAGTTTGGTAGCCTCAGGCCAGCCTTTCCTTCCAGGGACTCCTAAATGCCGTAAGCTCTGCACTGCATTGTTTGCGCTGATTAATGGTGAGAGGTTCCTGGCATGAATGTAATAGACATTTACCTGGAGGTCAAGTTTCCCTGCTCTTGGAACCCTCACCTGCTATGACTTGTACTTTATTCATGTAAGTCAGAATCCTAGGGAATTGCTCAAAATGCCTGTCTTGTCAGCCTCCTCTCCTACAACTCATTTTCTTTCATCCTTCAAGGCTCATTTCAGACACTTCTTCATTAATCCTTTTGATTCCTTCAGCTATGCATAATCTGACCTTCTTTGCTTTTGTTTTTATTGGTGCATATTTTACTTTATTATAGTCATATATCTTGAATCTCCCTAAACTGTCCTCCCCAACCAAAATCATCACTTCATTTTAAGTTCCCATATGCAGGAAATATTTTATTACATATAAATCTTTAGCTCCCTTTCACCATAGTGTCTTGCATACAGTAAATGTCCAATAGAATGTTTTGAATAGTTTTAATATTAAATGTGAGTATAGAATGTGGTTTTTACCTGATTTACATAAATAGTTCTTGTCATCCTTCCCATGAAAGTAACATTACTCATTGCTAAAAAATTGGAAAGTATGGGCCAGGCACGGTGGCTCACGCCTGTAATCCCAGCACTTTGGGAGGCCAAGGCGGGATGGATCACAAGGTCAGGAGTTCAAGACCAGCCTGGCCAAGATGGTGAAACCCCGTCTCTACTAAAAATACAAAACTTATCCCAGCATGGTGGTGGGCGCCTGTAATCCCAGCTACTCAGGAGGCTGAGGCAGAGAATCGCTTGAACCTGGGAGGCGGAGGTTGCAGTGAGCCAAGTTCATGCCACTGCACTCCAGCCTGGGCGACAGAGCGAGACTCCGTCTGAAAAACGAAACAAAACAAAAAAAGTATGAAAAAGAAAAAAAAAGTACTCATTGTCCTACTACTCAAAGATCATTACTTAGTTGAACAATGTATAGAGTAAAAAATATAGGCCAGGCGTGGTGGGTAATCCCAGCACTTTGGGAGGCTGAGGCGGGTGGATCACCTCAGGTCAGAAGTTTGAGACCAGCCTGGCTGACATGGTGAAACCCCGTCTCTACTAAAAATTCAAAAAATGAACCGGGCATGGTGACGGGTGCCTGTAATCCCAGCTACTCAGGAGGCCGAGGCAGGAGAGTCTCCTAAACCCAGGAGGTGGAGGTTGCAGTGAGCCAAGATTGTGCCATCACACTCCATCCTGGACGACAAAAGTGAAATTCCATCTCAAAAAAAAAAAACAATGTATATATACACATATACATATACGTGTATATATATATAACGTGTATGTATATATACACATATACATATACGTGTATATATATATAACGTGTATGTATATATATACGTGTATATATATGTGTATATAAATTAGTGTTCAGAAATTAAGAGACAGTTCTACACTTGGCAGGCTATTCAAAGGAATGATGTTCTCGTTTAAAGGAAAAAAAAAGTTACATTTGTGCCAGGCCGCATGTGACTATAGACCTCTCCCAGAGGGTGCCTATTTTAGTCAAGGCCAGCCCTTATTTTTATAGAGGGTGAAGAAAGCAGTGGGTAAATAGTATCTTCTTTGGGGTTAGGTCAAGGATATATGGCTTGTCATAAATATCAGGTTGACAAGAATTCTAGATCTAATCTTGTAAATTATAAACAGAAGGAAAATCTTCTCCCCAGCCTAAAGGGCCAGTACAAGTAGGCATATATCAGATAGCTGGTCTTAATTGCTTGTTACTTCCTTACTTAATTTTTGAATTATTTGGTATTATGTGACATTTTCTAACACCTGAAAACAAACTGAAGCCACAGCTTTAATAGAGGCCCTTACTTCTGTAACATAATTAGTGCCCTGTCTCTGCTATTCATAACTTACAATAAGTATGACCTCCCAGATGATTTGTTTGTTGCCTCCTCCTGTCCAGAAACATTGCTAACAGCATTTGGCATTTGAGGAAGATACTGTTGCAGGCCAGAAAGGAGTGAAGTGACCTTTTCAGTAACTTAACCTTCAACTCTGCAGTTTGTGGAAGGCAGACCAGTGATTCATACCAAGTTTGTAATTTGCACAAGTTCCCAAGCCACAGTTGAGCCAGAATAGATAATTCCACATTAAGTATTGGTATTTAAACAGAATTATTGAAGTTAAAGGAAGAACATTTTTATTTTTAAAAGGATGACTTTAAGTTTCTTTGCCTTCACACAATTGTTTCCTAATCCTCATGTCAGCACTTTTCACTGCTTTTTAAGACAAGGCAACTGCCCAGAATAGTCTGGAAATTATCTTCTCTAGTTAATGAAGTATTCTAGACATAGGTGTAAGTGTATGTGGAGGCTCATTAATTTGATTAATTCTTAAGTTGTCTCATAATTACTAAGCTAGCAAGGAATAGCTAACTATTTTGTTTGGAATTCTCAAACACAAAATGAACCGCTTACTACAGCTTTGATTTTGTTGTTTGAGTTTTGCCTATAGTTTCCATTTTCACACTTTTTTTTTTTTTTGAGACAGATTTTCGCTCTTGTTGCCCAGGCTGGCGTGCAGTGGCGCAGTCTCGGCTCACCACAACCTCTGCCTCCCAGGTTCAAGGGATTCTACTGCCTCAGTCTCCTGAGTAGCTGGGATTACAGGCATGTGCTACCACGCCTGGCTAATTTTGATTTTTAATAGAAATGGGGTTTCACCATGTTGGCCAGGCTGGTCTTGAACTCCTGACCTCAGGTGATCCACCTGCCTTGGCCTCCCAAAGTGCTGGGATTACAGGCGTAAGCCACCTCATGCGGCCATTTTCACATGTTTTATTACAGGGTTGAACTTTTCAGTCCATCCTTTGAGCTTCATTACCTTCACTTTTGAATTAACTTCTGCTTAGAGATCTTGTTCTTGACGTAGTCTTGATCTCTGGAGAATCAAAAGACACAGATTTCATTGTGATTAATGTGGAATGGAAACTTCTTTTTTCTTCTTCTTCTTTTTTTTTTTTTTTTTTTTTTTTTTGAGATGGAGTCTCACTCACCCTGTCGCCCAGGCTGGAGTGCAATGGCGCAATCTTTGCTTACTGCAATCTCTGCCTCCCAGGTTCAGGCAATTCTGTCTCAGCCTCCCAAGTAGCTGAGACTACAGGTGCCTACCACCAAGTCCAGCTAATTTTTGTATTTTTAGTAGAGACAGGGTTTTGCCATGTTGGCCAGGCTGGTCTCGAACTCCTGACCTCAGGTGATCCACCCGCCTCGACCTCCCAAAGTGCTGGGATTATAGGCATGAGCCACCGCGACTGGCCAGAAACATCTTTCTTCTTTTTTTTTTTCCTCTTCTTTTTTCTTTTTTGAGACAGAGTCTCGCTTTGTCACCCAGGCTGGAGTGCAGTGGCTCAATCACAGCTCACTGCAACCTCTGCTTCCTGGGTTCAAGCGATTCTCCTGCCTCAGTTACCCAGCTAGGTGGTATTACAGTCATGCGCCACCATACCTGGGTCATTTTTGTATTTTTAGTAGAGATGAAGTTTCACCATGTTAGCCAGGCTGGTCTCAAACTCCTGACCTCAAGTGATCTGTTTACCTCAGCCTCCCAAAGTGCGGGATTATAGGTGTGAGCCACTGCACTGGGCCGGAAACTTCTTGCAAAGGGAGTATTTCACTTGCTTGTTAAAACAGGAAGTGCAGCATAATCTATATAATTTTACCTCCATAGAACTGAAAGGACTGTTGTTAGTCAAAAAGCACATGACATTTTTCTGTATAACTTGACAGAATATATTTGTTGAATATATTTTTTCAGTCATCCTGCTTTTCATTCATTTTGGATTTTTTTTTTTTTTTTTTTTTTTTTTTTTTGAGATGGAGTCTCAATCTGTTGCCCAGGCTGGAGTGCAGTGGTGCGATCTCAGCTCCCTGTGCAACCTCCGCCTCCTGGGTTCAAACGATTCTCCTGCCTCAGCCTTCCGAGTAGCTGGGACTACAGGCATGCGCCACCAGGCATGGCTAATTTTTTTCATTTTTAAAATAGAGACAGTGTCTTGCTCTTTCACCCAGACTGGATTGCAGTGGCACAGTGATAGCTCACTGCAGCCTCAACCTCCTGGCTCAAGCGACTCTCCGTTTGGGATAATTATTTGCAGATACAACATTTCACAGTCTTGAATCACAGGGGAGTGTTTTTTGTTTTGTTGGGGTTTTTTTTGAGGCAGGTCTTGCTGTGTCACCCAGGCTCATGTACAGTGGCACGATCACAGCTCCCGGGCTCAAGTGATCCTTCTACCCCTGTCCCCCAAGCAGCTCGGACCACAGGTGTGTGCCACCATGCCTGGCTAATTTTTTGTATTTTTAGTAGAGACGGAGGTTTTACCATGTTGCCCAGGTTGCTCTTGAACTCCTGAGCTTAAATGATACACCCGCCTCAGCCTCCCACAGTGCTGGGATTACAGGCATGAGCCACTGCACCCCGTCGGGAGCGTTCTTAAGTGCCCAAATAGTTGAGGTTTAAGAAATGTTGATATAGGCTGGATGCGGTTGCTCATGCCTGTAATCCCAGAACTTTAGGAGCCCAAGGCTGTGTTGGGGGGCAATCACTTGAGGTCAGGAGTTTGAGACCAGCCTGGCCAACATGGCGAAACCCCATGTCTGTATTACAGATAGAAAAATTAGCCAAGCATGGTGGTGGGTGCCTGTAATACCAGCTACTCGGGAGGCTGAGGCAGGAGAGTCACTTGAACCTGGGAGGCGAAGGTTGCAGTGACCTGAGATTGCGCCACTGCACTCCAGCCTAGGCCACAGAGTGAGACTCCATCTCAAAAAAGAAAGAAAGAAAAAAAAAAGAAATGTTGATATAAATGTGATCTGTTCCATTGGATAGGAAATTGAGTTTCTACTCTGATCTCATTTTTTTTCTAGTTACAGTGCTTCATGCTGTGATGTCTTTAGACAAATGAGGCTGGCTCTGAGAACACTAAAGTCTTTGAAAAGCCTCAGCATCTGAAAAGATGCCTGTCGTACTGCAATAAATATTGCTTAGCCCCCTTTCTCATTAGATGGCCCCTTACTGCAGAAAGTCTGTAAAAGCAGATACCCTTATTCCTTAGAGTGCAGAGGGTCTCCTGATACTTCTGTTATTCAATTATTGTGATCCTGCCAGATTCTTATTCAGTTTCTCCTCTAGAGTTTCAACTCACTATCAAGTACCCATCCTAGTAGGCAGGAGATGTGTTTCACTGATGGAAAGACAATCCATGTAGAGCCAGTATGCTTCTTTGGAATGCGAGGCTTGATGTAAGATGCCTTGAGATCATCAAAGATGCAAGGAATAAAGCTATTACCTTTGGATACTACTTAATATTTGAAATTCTTCCAGAGTGTACATTAAATACATTTTTGGACAAAATCAAATTGTTTTTCTTCATTGATGCTTATATTAAAATTGAAGTTTAGTATTTATTCTCTAGGCATCGCGTTCTTCTAGAAAACGTTTGCTTTGTAGGTAACTGCATGTCAGTCTGAAGATGAGTGCAGTAGGAGGGGTTTAAAATAATTGCAACATCATGTTGATGGCTGTTAATGGAGGACAGGACTGGAGACGCTCTTGCTGATTTTGACTAGTTCAGAAGTCTTTCTTATAGTAAGCCTTTTGCAATTACACAGTTAGGTGACTGTGTAATTGGGAAGATAGGATTTTTAAGATAGCTATCATTTGGTTATAACTACCTTTTTTTATTTTTTATTTTTTGAGACAGGGTCTCGCTCTGTCGCTCAGGCTGAAGTGCAAGTAGTGTGATCACAGCTCATTGCAGCATTGACCTCCTGGACTCAAGCAGTCCTCCCACCCTCAGCCTCCTGTTTAGCTGGAACTACAGGTGTGTGCCACCATCCCTGGCTGATTTTTAAATTTTTTTGTAGAGACGGGTTTTGCTATGTTGCCTAGGCTGGTCTCGAATTCCTTGGCTCAAACAATCCTCCTACCTCAGCCTCCCAATATGCTGGGATTACAGGTATGAGCTACCACGCCTGGTCATAACTACCATTTTACATGGTTATACCATTTTGGCAAAGACAAAAACATGTTAATTAGAAAAATGAAAATTGCTTAAGAATTTTCTTCTTGGCTGGGCTCAGTGGCCCATTCCTGTAATTCTAGCATTTTGGGAGGCCGAAGCAGGAGGATCACTTCAGCCTAGGAGTTCAAGACCACCCTGGGCAACATGGCGAGGACCCATCCCTACAAAAAATAAATAGCTGGGTATGGTGGCACATGCCTGTAGTCCCAGATATTCAGGAGGCTGAAATGGGAGAATCTCTTGAGCTCAGGAGTTTGAGGCCGCAGTGAGCTATTACTACACCACTGCATTCCAGTCTGGGTGACAGAGTGAGACCCCATTTCTTTTTTTTTTTTTTTTTTTTCCCCTGAGGCTGAGTCTTGCTCTGTCGCCCAGGCTGGGGTGCAGTGATGCAATCTTGGCTCATTGCAACCTCCACCTCCCAGGTTCAAGTGATTCTCCTGCCTCAGCATCCCAAGAAGCTGGGATTACAGGCACGCACCACCACACCCAGCTAATTTTTGTATTTTTAGTAGAGACGGGGTTTCACCATGTTGGACAGGCTGGTCTTGAAATCCTGACCTCAAGTGATCTGCCCACCTCGGCCTCCCAAAGTGCTGGGATTACAGGCGTGAACCACCACGCTGGGCCCGAGACCCCATTTCTTAAAAAAAAAAAAAAATTTTTTTCTTCTTATAAACACTTAATGATGGCAGACACCCAGAATTACTCTTTTTGCTTCCCTTTTTAACTCTTAACTGTAGAAACCAGGCATGGTGATTTGTGCTTGTAATCCCAGCACTTTGGGAGACTGAGGCAGGAGGATCACTTGACCCCAGGAGTTTGAGACCAGCCTGGGCAACATAATGAGACCGCATCTCTACAAAAAAAATTTTTAAAAAAATGAGTTGTGTGTGTTGGTGCATTCCTGTAGTCATAGCTACTCTGGAGGCTGAAGTGGGAGGATCCCTTGAGCCCAGGAGTTCAAAGTTGCAGTGAGCTGTGTTTGCACCACTGCACTCCAGCCTGGGTGACAGAGCAGGATGCTGTTAAAAAAAGAAAAAGGGAAAAAGCATCAGTCTATGGAAAACTTAATAAAATACTTTGTAAAAACATAAATACTGTAACTATTTTCTAATTGCTCGTTTTGCTTCATAAAACTGACATTTCCATTGAAAAGATAAAACTAGCCTGGGCACGGTGGTTCACACCTGTAATCCCAGCACTTTGGGAGGCCGAGGCGGGCGGATCATGAAGTCAAGAGTTTGAGAACATCCTGGCCAACACGGTGAAACCCCGTCTCTACTAAAAATACAAAAAATTAGCGGAGCGTGGTAGCTACTTGGGGGGCTGAGGCGGGAGAATCACTTGAACCTGGGAAGCGGAGGTTGCAGTGAGCCAATATCGCACCACTGCACTCCAGCCTGGGCGACAGAGCGAGACTCCGTCTCAAAAAACAAAAACAAACAAAAACACTAAAGGATTTTTCTGTGCCCTATGGTCTCTTCTCAATCTTTTGCTCAGCTATTTCTGATATGTAACCATTATCTTAATCTAATAGTGATTTTAATTGGATTTTGGGTCAAGGGAAACACTTAAGCTAGATGTGTGCTCACAGAATGTTATTAATGGAGACATAAGATGATTACAGTGAATTAAAGGAAATAGCTTCTATATTCGGTGCAACCTCTTTATCTTGGCATTCAAGGCCCTTCTAGTCATTAATTCAGCCTCCTTTTTAGCTTCACTTCTCTCTACCTCCATAGAGATTATATCATTCTGACAAACTGGATACCCTACCACTAAGGTATCAATTCTCAGATTTTCTGGCCCCAACTTGCCTTGCCAGCCGCAAACTCATAGTTCCTCACTTTATACACAACACTTCCACAAAGATGCCCTGCTGGCACCTGAAGTTTGACATACCCAAGACAGAATTAAATGTCTTTTAAAGGCATTTACACACCCTTGCCAACTGTAGAATAATCTAATCAATATTTTCTAATTCCCCAAATCCAGAAACAGTAGTTCCCTCTTATTTGAGGTTTCAATTACCCACTGATGTGTTTTGGCATTGTCCCCACTCAAATTTCATCTTGAATTGTAGTTCCCATAATAATCCCCATAAACCCTCATGCTGCTATTGTGATAGTGAAGTTTTCATAAGATCTGATGGTTTTATAAGGGGCTTTTCCCCCTTTGCTCAGCACTTCTCTCTCCTGCTGCCATGTGAAGAAGGATGTGTTTGCTTCCCCTTCTGCCATGATTGTAAGTTTCCTGAGGCCTCCCCAGCCATGCAGAACTGTGACTCAATTAAACCTCCGTCTTTTATAAATTACCTAGTCTCAGGTATTTCTTCATAGCAGCATGAGAATGGACTAATATACCCACATTACCTAACAATAATACAGACAGAGACCACATTCACACAACATTTATTATAGTATATTGTTATAATTATTCTGTTTTATTATCGTTGTTAACCTCTTGAGTATGCCTAATATATGTGTTAAACTTGGCCAGATCCTGTGGCTCATGCCCATAATCTCGGCACTTTGGGAGGCCAAGGTGTGAGATTGCTTGAGCCCAGAAGTTTGAGACCAGCCTGGACAACATAGTGAGACCCTGTTTCTACAAAAACTTAAAAAAAAAAGTAGCGGGGTGTATCAGGGTGTGTCTGTAATCCCAGCTACTAAGGAGGCTGAGGTGGGAGGAATACTTGAGCCCAGGAGTTCAAGACTGCAGTGAGCTATGATCAGGCCACTACTCCAGCCTGGGCTAGAGTGAGACCCCATCTCTTAAAAGAAAACAAAACTACTACTAAGTCATTTTAGTTTTTCTTTTGTTGGTACTAAGTTTTTGGAATCCAGAATGTATTTTACACTTCATAGCAAGCACTTCTCAATCCAAACAAGTGAGATTTTAGACTCAATAGCCACATGTGGCTAGTGGCTCCCATGTTAGACAGCACAGGTCAGTAGCATAAAGAACTTTAGAGTTCTTGAACTGGCATTCTTGATTTTCTACAACTTTCGCTACTGCCCTTCATTTTTCAGCTTCTCCCTGCTCACCCAAGCCCCAGCATCTAGTTGTCTGCCTTTCTTTTCCTCTTGTTATCCTTCCCTGCCGTGGAAATCTGGCTGACCCCTGCCAGGGCCTATCCGAATGCCACTTTCAGAGCAGGCTGGCACTGTTCTTGAGGCGCTGCATTCTCGTGGTGTCCGTAAGCACTAACCACTGGCTGTTGACCCTCCTGCAGCAGTGTTTATGGGAGCCGTTTGTCTGGTTTCTCTGTGAGAAGTCTAGCACCCCACTAGCAGGGGAGCTTCTCAGAGACCGGCTTTCTCAGCCGTCTTATTTCCTAGCGCAGCATGCACAATGTGGTGGTCCACGTGTGGCCTCCATTTGCTCTTAGGGTATTCTTATTCTTATCCTTTGCTGTTTGATAGTTGTGTTCCTGACATCTTTGGGATCTTAAGCAATTTCTCCTTTAACAGTTTTCTTTACCTTTGACATGTATTCTGAATGAAATTTCCCTTTATATCTGGATCAGTTCCACTGTTTAAAGGGTATTCTTGCTCTTTGCAGTCTGAAGCTTTTGCTTATGCAATAGAGGACATATTAATTTCTGTGTAGAAACAACCACCTAATATGAATAAAATTAGGTTTCATATGTACGTGTAGTAGGTTATTCTAGTTTTAGTCTGATTCTCATCCCAAATACAACTCTTCCCCTTATATAATTTAGTTATATATATGCACTGTATTAAGGCTTTTTTCCCTGCAGCTTTATTGAAGAGTTTATATGCTTTTTGAATTTCTCTCTCCCCTAAAGAGATTTGGTCAGTGGTGTTTTGCTTGGCATCCTTTGCCCGTGTAAAAAAGCAAACAGGTGCCCAAAAGGTTGTGCTGTATTCTGGGAGAAATCTGATTAATGTTGAAGGGCTGTGTCAGGTCAGACTCAACCTGCTGACAGATTATTTAGTGAGTGCGAGGATCGAGGATCAACTCTAAACGTTATCTTAGATTTTAATGGTTTTCTTGTGAAGAGCATTTGCAGATGAAACCAATTTGTATTTAAAGTTAATTGTAGTTGTACCAGAGACTACTTAAGAAGAAATTCTTCCCTGAAGCAGGCAGTGGTTTGAAAAGAATGAATGATTCATCAGATAGTGTTGCAAGGCTTATAATTATATTCTGTGTTTTAACATAAATTGTTGTGTTTTAAATTATGGTGAAATCTTACTCCTAGTAAAATAAGAGTTTCTCCAAAGAAGTTCCTATTGAAATGATCTTAAATTCTTTTAATATAAGTTTCCCAAACCTCTTCACAACTCCTTGAAAAACAATGAAATGTGCTGTTCCTTGTAAGATAGATCCCTAGTTAGCCCGGTTGCTTCTCTTTCCCTCACCCCTCAATCCACGTGTTCTGTTTCATGGATACCAAATGTCTGCACGCCTCTAACCACACTGCCAGCAGATTGCGAGTGGACTATGAAATGGATCTCTTACTTAAACTCCTTCCGCTCTTGCTCTCCACACAGCAGGCAAAAGGGTCTTTTTTCTTTTTAAACTTGTTATCATTGTTATTATTTAAATGTTGTGTTATGGAAAATTTCAAATATATATCAAAGTAGAGAGATGGGTGTTCTTCTTATTCAGCTTCAACAACGATCCATTCATGGCCAGTCTTCTTTCATCTGTGCTTCTGTCACTCCCCCTTCAACCCCTTAAATATTTTGAAACGAATCCCAGAGTTTTTATTACTTTAATTAGCTAATTTGGAATTGCCCTGTCATGAAATTTGGTTTATTGGTTGGTCACATAGGTGGGGAAAGTTGCTGTCCCAGTGGTGATACACTATTTGTTGCCTTCTTTATGTCTTCCAATTCTGTTTCCTCTTACTTTTTCACGATGTGTTCCCTTTCTTTTTGTTAACTGCCATCCCCAGAGAAATAGTTTCACATGTCCAATTCATGTTAAGCCAATTTTTCAGGGATGTATATATAGGCACTCTGCTACTTTTGTACCAAATACATTCTTAAAGTTGAATGTACAAAAAATAAATGTGTGTATGGGAAGGATGTTTCATGCTCAGAAAGTTTTAAAAATTAAAAAATCCCTGTTTTAAAAAATCATATGATACATGCTCATGATAAAAATAAAATTAATACAGAATGGTATGAAGTAAAAGGCAAAAATTCCCATTTTGTTCATGGATCGTTTTCAGTTCCTTATTTCTAAAGCAACCATTGCTAATATTTCTTATGGATCCTTCCAGAAAGGCCATTTAAAGCCTTAATAATGTATATTTTTGACATTTTCTCTCAGTGTCTTTGAATTTAGTAGATAGAAATTGGTTTTAGTGTTGGAAAGAATAGCTTGGTGTTTTGCAAGAGTTTGAGTAGAAGATTGTATGATGGCTTTGATATTTTATTGACTTTCATAAACACTAATTTCCTCTTGATAAAGGAGCTCTAAGCAGACTCTGAACTCATCAGCAACTCTTTGGGCCTACGAAAATCTCTATACTAGTACTATCCAGTAGAAATATAATGTGAGCCACATATGTAATTTTAAATTTCCTAATATTCATATTAACTAAAAATAAAAAGAGGCCAGGCATGGTGGCTCACGCCTGTAATCCAAGCATTTTGGGAGGCTGAGGCAGGAGGATCACTTGAGCCCAGGAGTTCAAAATAAGCCTGGGCAATACAGTGAGATCCTGACTCTGTATTGCCAGACAAACAAAAACTAGCTGGGTGTGGTGGCATGACCCCGTAGTCCTTGCTACTCAGGAGGCTGAGGTAGGAGGATCACTTAAGCCTGGGAGTTCAAGACTGCAATGAGCTGTGATTGTAACACTACACTCCAACCTGGACAACAGAACAAGCCACTGTCTCTAAAAATAATAATAGTTAATTTTTTAAAAGGTGAAATTTGGCCGGATGCAGTGGCCGATGCTTATAATCCCAGCACCTTGGGAGGCCGAGATGGGCAGATCACTTGAAGTCAGGAGTTTGAGACCAGCCTGGCCAACATGGCAAAACCCTGTCTCTACTAAAAATGCAAGTCAGGTGTGGTGTCGAGCACCTGTAGTCCCAGCTAGGGAGGCTGAAGCAGGAGAATCACTTGAACCTGGGAGGCAGAGGTTGCCATGAGCTGAGATCACGCCACTGTACTCCAGCAGCCTGGGCGACAGAGCGAGACTCTGTCTCAAAAAAAATAGGTAAATAAAGAAAGGTGAGCTCAGTCTTGATAATGCATTCTCTTTGGTGCATTATATCTAAAATATTCTTTTTCTGTTTCATTTTTTGAGACCAGGTCTTGCTGATCCACCCACGCTGGAGTGCAGTGGCGTAATCATGGCTCACGGTAGCCCCAACCACTGGGGCTCAAGCAGTCCTCCCGCCTCAGCCTCCTGAGTAGCTGGGACTACAGGTGCACACCACTATGCCTGGCTAATTTTTTTATTTTTAGTAGAGTCAGGGACTCACTGTGTTGTCCAAGCAGGTCTTGAACTCCTGAGCCCAAGTGATTCTCCCACCTTGGCCTCCCAACGTGCTGGGATTATTGGCATGAGCCACCATGCCTGGCCCAAAATACAATTTCAGTATGTAAGTAATGAATATAAAAATTAGAGATTTTGGGGGCCGGGCGCAGTGGCTCATGCCTGTAATCCCAGAACTTTGGGAGGCCGAGGCTGGCAGATCATGAGGTCAGGAGATGAGACCATCCTGGCTAACACGGTGAACCCCTTCTCTACTAAAAATACAAAAAAGCCAGGCGTGATGGCACGCACCTGTAGTCTCAGCTACTCGGGAGGCTGAGGCAGGAGAATCCCTTGAACCCAGGAGGCGGAGAGGTTGCGGTGAGCCGAGATCACGCCACTGCTCCAGCCTGGTGACAGAGCGATGGAGTTTCACTCTTGTTGCCCAGGGTGGGATGCAATGGCGCGATCTCGGCTCACCGCAACCTCCACTTCCCAGGTTCAAGCAATTCTCCAGCCTCAGCCTCCTGAGTAGCTGGGATTTCAGTTGCCTGCCACCACACCCATCTAATTTTTTGTATTTTTAGTAGAAACGGGGTTTCACCATGTTGGTCAGGCTGGTCTCGATCTCCTGACCTCAGGTGATCTACCTGCCTCAGCCTCCCAAAGAGATTTTACTTTTTTTCATACTAAGTTTTCAAAATCCACTGTGTGTGGTTTTGTTTGTTTGTTTGTTTTTTTGAGACGGAGTCTCGCCCCATTGCCCAGGCTGGAGTGAAGTGGCACGATCTTGGCTCACTGCAAGCTCTGCCTCGCGGGTTCACACCAATCTCCTCCCTCAGCCTCCCAAGTAGCTGGGACTACAGGCGCCTGCCACCACGCCTGGCTAATTTTTTGTATTTTTAGTAGAGACGGGGTTTCACTGAGTTAGCCAGGACAGTCTCGATCTCCTGACCTCGTGATCCGCCCGCCTCGGCCTCCCAGAGTGCTGGGATTACAGGCGTGAGCCACCGCGCCCGGCCCACTGTATGTTTTATACTTAGAGCATGTCTCAAGTTGGGCTTCCCTCATTTCGGGTGCTCAGTAACCATGTAAGGAATGGCTGTTGTATTGTACAGTACCGCCCTCTACAGGGTAGAAGGAGAGGGGATGGGATATGTTCTCAGTTTTGTTCTTTATTTCCCAGCGATTGACCAATGTTTGGAGTTAAAAGGTTGCCGCTTTTGATGTTCTTTGTGATCTCCAGCTCTGACTGAATTGTATCGTCACTAGCATCAGCACTTTGCTTAAAAATCAATTTTCATTCTTATAAAAGACAAAGTATTAATGACACAAATATGTCTATACACAGATGCTAATCCTGCTGAAATTGAACTCTTGGCTGGTAGGCAATGCCACCCTGTGGTAGCTCAAAAGTTTATTCATCAATATATGAAAGGCCAAATTCTAAGTAGTGAATGTGGCTTAGGAGTGTTAGTGTAGAATACATTAAACGTGAGTGCTTTTTATTCTGAATTTTGGAGTGAATGTATGTAGTAGCATGTAGTGAAATTAACTGTTAGGAGAAAACAGAGGTAAGAATTCCTGAGAAGTTGGTAAGATTGTTCTTTTACTGTAATTTTTGTTTTTTCTTCAGGGGTTGCAGATGGTGTAGGAGGCTGGAGAGACTATGGAGTTGATCCATCTCAATTCTCAGGGACTTTAATGCGGACGTGTGAACGTTTAGTAAAAGAAGGACGGTTCGTACCTAGTAATCCCATTGGAATTCTCACCACAAGCTACTGTGAGTTGCTGCAAAATAAAGTCCCTTTGCTCGGTAAGTGGGTATCTTATGTGTTTTCCTCTAAAGAAGCCCCCTAGATAGTTAAAAACAAAACCAAGAAAATCATTTATCGGACCAGCTTTTTTCTGAGGCTCTTCCTACTAAGCAGAGTGTGATAGAGAAACTATAGGCTAACCGCTGGGCGCAGTGGCTCACGCCTGTAATCCCAGCACTTTGGGAGGCTGAGGTGGGCAGATCACCTGAGGTCGGGAATTCGAGACCAGCCTGACCAACATAGAGAAACCCCATCTCTACTAAAAATACAAAAATTAGCCAGGCATGGTGGCGCATGCCTGTAATCCCAGCTACTTGGGAGGCTGAGGCAGGAGAATCACTTGAACCCCGGGAGGTGGATGTTGCGGTGTGCCGAGATGGCGCCATTGCACCCCAGCCTGGGCCACAAGAGTGAAACTCCATCTCCAAAAAATAAAAGAGAAACTATAGGCTAACCAGAATACGTAGTACTGCTTGGAGGGAATGTGGATAGGTACAGCCACTTCGGAAAACAATTTGGTATTAAATATGAACATATAGTATGCCACAGCAGTTGCACTTCTAGGTGTTTACCCTAGACTAGAGAAACTCTTGCACAATACGTGAACCAAAAGATAGGTATGAGAATGTTCTCAAAATGTTGCCAATAGCAGAGAACTGGGGACAACCTAAAAGTCTATCTGTTGTAGAAAAATGCATTGTGAAAAGAAACGACTTAAAGCTGCATGTTCTACTCAGGAACATGTTGTGAAGGGAAGAGAGAACATTGCAGAATTCCACCTGACAGTCTGATTCCATATATTTCAAGTTTAGAAACATAAAAAGTTAAAACTGTATTGTTGAGGGATTCTAAAATTTGGTAAAAGAAGAAAGAAGAGCAAGAGGAAAGAAAAGAAATGGTCTGGCCTGCAAAATTCAGTTCATTACCTGTGATGAGTTCAAGTTGTGTTTGGTCACCCCACACTGCTAACAGGTGATTAGTCGGTGAAATAACTTGGCACAAATTAGATCCCCGATAATCTTGTATTAGAAAACTTAAAACCAAGTATTTAGGGTTTGTTTATGTGGTATGCTAATGGAGCATCCTTTGGCCAGGCCTCTACGTTTGTTTGTTACATGATTTCCTGGGAACTTACCCAGCCTTCTAAGCAGTCTCTCAGAGAGGGTATTATTACGTTTCTGCTCATAGCCAGCATCTTTCTAGTTACTAGAAGGCCTCCTTCCCAGTCACCATTGACATTTAAAATCAGCCCCTGTTCGGCCAGGGGCGGCAGCTCACGCCTGTAATCCCAACACTTTGGGAGGCCGAGGTGGGCGGATCATGAGGTCAGGAGATTGAGACCATCGTGGCTAACACAGTGAAACCCTGTCTCTACTAAAAATACAAAAAATTAGCCGGGTGTGGTGGTGGGCACCTGTGGTCCCAGCTACTTAGGAGGCTGAGTCAAGAGAATGGTGTGAACCTGGGAGGCGGAGCTTGCAGTGAGCCAAAATCGCGCCACTGCACTCCAGCGTGGGCGACAGAGCAAGACTCCATCTCCAAAAAAAAAAAAAAAAAAAAAAAATCAGCCCCTGTTTAGCGTTAATGGAGATCACCACAGTTGTTATAGAATTTGCTTTCAGTTTAAGCCCTTTGTAAGGAGTTCTTTTTATCAGTCTGCTGTCTTCTGTCTTTGTGCTGTGATTAACTAACTTGTTTTCCTTCAAACTGAAAAGGGATCTTGTCTTGCAGTTTCAATATATACTGCTTTGTCTTAATTCCCTGTTTTGGACATGCAATCTGGAGCTTGTCTGGCATAGTGAAACATTCTAGATGCTATTTCTAGCACCTCTCTGTCAACTTGCTGTGTGACTTTGGGCAAGCCACTTAACCTGTGATCTCCTTGCTTCACATGTTAAATGGAGAGAGAGCCCCTAGACACAGATTCCAGGGGACTGCCTCCTGCATGTTCTCAAGAGTGGCTCTGCTGACCCTCTGACCCCCGATCATTTACTTTGACTTGAGATAACTGGTTACAAAACACGTAACCATCCTGATTTTACACTTTAGAAGCTTTGGTTTTTGCTGTGCCTTTTTCTTTTTCCTATTCCTACTTTCCCTTTCTGTTCACCCTCATGTAACTGGGAGATATTAATAAAATACATTTAAATTTAATATTAGAGAAAATAATATTTTCTTACATTGAATATTGTGATTACTTTTTTCTCCTAAAAGGCACATTGAAATAATCTTTCATCACCATGTTTGACACACCTTTTTTTCACAAAATCTACACATCTCTAGGCTGTTTGTAATGAAACTCAAGCATATTTTGACAAAGACAAGCTGCTGAGTTTTACTGAACTTCAGCTAGATATAATTGTAAATCATGACAACTTTACCAGATAAGTTAGTTAGGTAATTTTTTTTTTTTAATCCAGCAACTGCTAAAAAGCCTACAAAGCAATTCCAATATAAAAGGCAAGCTGGTAGCTGTAACCACTTATTTCTTTGACTTTCTAGCTGCGTTTGGGTCTAAGGGCATTACAGACTAATTGTTGGCATATATGATTTCCTCAGAAACCTTTAAATGGATTGATAAGGTCCTAAGCAGCCAGAGTATCTTAAGAACCTGAGGGGTTGGTCCTAATAAAGTTATCCCTTTTTCTGCCATACAAAAGGCTTAGTAGTAGTTTACAAAATAAGGAGCTGGGTGATAAAAATATTTCCATTTGAGCATGAGGGACTCGCCTGGGTTCCTGTCTATATGGGTCATTTGTCTAAACATCCTACACTGTGGTTCTCAGCACCGCTTTTCTTACTCATCTTTGCCTGCTTGTGCCTCTCCAAACACGTGAGAATGATTAGCTCTTCTCCCAATATTAGGCTGCTGGGGCCTGAGCCACGTGCACACATCAGGAATTTGAGGAGGCAAAAGAGGAGGGTACACTCCAAGCCCAGATGGTTCTGTAAGGCTGGGCTTATACTTGTTGGTGCTGCTTTGGATACTGAAGCTCAGTCACTCACCAGGACTGTTTTGATTCCAACTCAGCGAGTTACTGTCGCAGGGTAGCAAAGGATAGCCTGGCTTCGTCAGTGAGTATATAAGGAGTCACATGAGTCCTTCTTGCAGCAGAATTTTCAAGGATGTGCTACTCGGGTTGTTTTTCTTTCTCAGAATATAATCCCATGAGTTTTCAGAAGATGTTTTGGGTGGTGATCTATTAATGATAAAAGGTTAGAGTTGATGTGCACTGAGTTAGGAAGGAAAGGTAATGGGCAATCTTTGTCCTACTGTAAGCTATGGAGCGGGTTATCTGACAGCACTACCAGTGAGTTACAGTACCCGTGCTTTGCTTTTCGTTGACACTTAATGGCTAGCATAGTATGAGTTAGTACTAACGCATATACTGTAGATAACAAGGAAATGGAATTTCTGGGCATTAGCATGAGAAAGACATGTATATTTTTAAGTGTTTTTAAATTACTTTGTTAGGACAAAATTAATAATAAAAATTACCCATGATCCCACTAAAACAACTATTAATATTTGAGTGATTATGCTTTCAGATTTTTTTTCTGTGTGTATGTGTGCATAGAATAATGGTAACTTGAATTGAGTCTACTATGTGCCCACAACAGCCCCATGAGGTAAATACATAGGTACTTAATTTTATTCCCCTCCACCTTTTTTTTTTTTTTGAGACAGAGTCTTGCACTGTTGCCCATGCTAGAGTGCAGTGGTGCAATCTCAGCTCACTGAAACCTCTGCCCCCCGGGTTCAAACAATTCTTGTGCCCCAGCCTCCGAAGTAGCTGGGATTACAGGTGTGCACCACCACGTCCAGCTAATTTTTTGTGTTTTTAGTAGAGAGGGGATTTCACCATGTTGGCCAGGCTTAGTCTCGAACTCCTGGCCTCAAGTGATCCACCCGCCTCAGCCTCTCAAAGTGCTGGGATTACAGGCATGACCCACCACGCCTGAACTATTCTCCATTTTGTTAGGAAGAAACAAGTCTGGAGAGAATAAGTGACTTGCCATGGTCACATAGCTGGAAAATGATGGCACACTGGGATTTAATATGGCTGGTTCCGTGGCCCATTTGTGTTGTTTTCCTTTTAACCATCATTTTAATAATTTAGACTTTGCCTATTGCTTTTTTAAAAAAATTGACTTCTAGTAAACTTTACTCTTTTTGGTGTACAGTTCTTTAGGTTTTGACATCATCTTTTTTTGTTGTTGTTAAGGAAACTTTCATATGAGTTTGTAATCTACTTATTTTATAGTTATCTTTCCTTTCAAATATATTTTACATAATCTTAATGGCTATAAAATAGCCAACACTATCTGTTATAAGGGTTTGACATGACTTAACTAATTTTAATTCTTAGAAAAATTCTATGAGGTACTTACTGTTATCCCTGTTTTTGTGGATGAGGAAACTGGGGCACAGAGAGGTTAAGTAGTTTGCCCCATCACAGAGCTGGGAAGTGGCAGAGCTGGGATTCAGACACAGGCAGGAAGCAGGCTGACTCCAGAGCCTGTACTCCTGAGTATTACGTGATGGTGTATCTTTGCACTGTATGGATGTACTGTAATTTATTTAACCAGTCCCTTATTTTAGATGTTTAGATTGTTTCCAGTTCTTTCTCATCTTAAGTAATATTTTTGTACTTAAGTCTTGTTTGCCCTTCTAATTATTTTCTTAGCGTAAATTCTCAGAGATGGAATTGCTAGATGAAAGGAGGTACATTTTTCCGGGCTATCTTGCGCTCCAGGAAAGTTGTTTACTTTTACTTTTCACTCCCGCAGAATGAATGTTCTGTGCAGTGGGCATGTTCCCTACACTTTGCCAACAATATGCATTATCTTCTTTTGACTCGTGTTAAACTAATAGGTGAAAAGCGTTACTAGTGAGGTGGTCATTTTTTCATATATTTACAGATCATCTACACTTATTTCTTTGTGAACTGCCTGTTTTTCTATGTTGCCATTTTTCTGGTGGCGGTAGGTAGGTTTAACTGTTAGTACTTGAGAGTGGTCTCTGCTAGTTGTGCCATTAGCCTTTCAGTCTAGGGAAGATTCTGTGGCCCGTGCACAGCAAAGCTATGCAGAGTTCTTTGCCCAGAGTCTCTGTCGAATGAACAGGTTGATTCCACAAGCTGCCTGCAGAAATTTGGTCTTGTTACCTCATAGTGAGTGAGTCATTAGTCTCCAATAAAAGTTCTTCCTGACCTCAACAGATGGAAATCTGGTTTAAAATTGTAGTTATGTGCCCTGTCTTAAATGTGAGTGAATTTTGTGGCCAATGACTAATAAGAAATGTCGGGAAAATGTAACATTTTCATTCTGGCATTGAAGTATTAAAACTTAATATCTCAACAACATGTTTTTGAGCATTTGGCATAGATGACAGCACTGTTGAAATGAAATAGTGTGATTAAATACCAGTCATTTTTATTGCTTTCTGTCAATGCAAATGGAAGAATTCAGATCATCTGTGGCCCAATTACTATGTATAATACAAATCCTTTTTCTTTCCCCACCGTGTTAACCCTGATCAGGATTTTATTGATATTCGTAGAGGATGTGGAGCATAACTAAGAAAGGTCCTGTTTAGGCAAAGGAGATTGAAATTATGGTGTGTTGCTCTGTGGGGTCATGTGTTAAAATGTGTGTGCAAAGGCAGCCTAGGAAGAAAAAATAAATGGAGATGATTTTTGTTTCTAGGTAGCAGCACCGCCTGCATTGTGGTGCTGGACAGAACCAGCCACCGCTTACACACAGCAAACCTGGGCGATTCAGGCTTCCTGGTTGTCAGGGGTGGTGAAGTCGTGCACCGATCAGATGAGCAGCAGCATTACTTCAACACTCCATTCCAGCTCTCAATCGCTCCCCCTGAAGCCGAGGGAGTCGTCTTGAGCGACAGGTAATCTCCCCTCTCAGCCATTAAGTGTGAGCAGGACGTGGCTCATTCATAGTCCCCTCCTGTCCCCCTTGAGTGCAGTGAGGTAGGCATTTCCATGAAAAGAATACACTGAGAATGTTCTCATCAAGAGGACCTTTTAGTTTAACTTTGAAAGATACTTTTCTGGAACTAGATAATCTAGCTAAGTGGAATTCTGATAAATACCCAATAATTTGACAAGACCATGAAAATACTATTTCAGGCTTACAGAATATCAATTTTTCATATCAACACCACATGGTACATACAGTACTTTATTAAATTGTGCTGGAGAAATGAGTCATTGTTCATGCATGCCATTGCTTGTACAAGATTTTGCATACATTGTTAGGGAAGAGCACAAACAGACATCTGCGTTATTTATTGGAGTAACTTCCTGATTCTCTAGACCTCTTACTACATGCATCAAATAGAACTTGCAGGAAATGGAGTCAAAATGGTCTTAAGTGACTGGGCACGGTGACTCACGCCTGTAATCCCAGGACTTTGGGAGGCTGAGGCGGGTGGATCACTTGAGGCCAGGAGTTCAAGACCAGCTTGGCCAACATGGTGAAACCCCATCTCTACTAAAAATGCAAAAATTAGCTGGGCGTGATGGCGGGCGCCTGTAGTCCCAGCTACTCAGGAGGCTGAGGCAGGAGAATCGCTTGAACCCAGGAGGCAGAGATTGCAGTGAGCCGAGATTGCGCCACTGCACTCTAGCCTGGGTGACAGAGCAAGACTCTGTCTCAAAAAAAACCAAAACAATAAAACCAAAATGGTCTTGAGGTGGGCACAGTGGTGTAGGACCATAGTCCCAGGTACTTGAGAGGCTGAGGCTGGAAAATCGCTGGAGTCCAGCCTGGGTGACATAGTGACACCCTGTCTTTTAAAAAAAGTGGTCTTGGATATGTTCTTTGATAAT
Source organism: Homo sapiens (assembly GCF_000001405.40). Taxonomy (NCBI): domain Eukaryota; kingdom Metazoa; phylum Chordata; class Mammalia; order Primates; family Hominidae; genus Homo; species Homo sapiens. Next base: position 110,544,936 of record NC_000012.12, on the reverse strand, counting down.
GTTATTGAGGTGTTCTCTTTTTCTTTCTCACATCTTTTCTCAGTTCACTTTTAAATTGTCAAGAACGTTCCAAGATGCTGCTTTTTTTCCCCGCCCCTTCTCTGAGACAGAGTCCTGCTCTTGTTGCCCAGGCTGGAGTGCAATGGCATGATCTCAGCTCACTGCAACCTCCGCCTCCTGGTTCAAGCGATTCTCCTGCCTCAGCCTCCCAAGTAGCTGGGATTACAGGTGCCCGCCACCATGCCTGGCTAATTTTTGTATTTTTAGTAGAGACAGGGTTTCACCATGTTGGCCAGGCTTGTCTCAAACTCCTGACCTCGTGATCCACCCGCCTCGGCCTCCCAAAGTGCTGGGATTACAGGCATGAGCCACTGCGCCCAGCCAAAATGGTGCTTTTTTTGAGTTGACTTTTACAGTTTATCTTTTCTTAGATGAGTGTCCAGAGTAAGGCAAAGCCTCAGATTTCAGTGTCTTTAACAATCTTATAGCTTTATAGGACCTGGCACAAACATCACTGGCAATTCATAAATGTTGATTAATGGACAATGAACCTTTTGTAAAAATAGAAGCATTCTAGCAAGTACTTGTCTCTACTTAATAGCTCTCATTAAACCATCTCTTAGGTCCAAACTAAGATAAAATGAATTATTATTGCCATCTTTTAAACTGGAACGAGCATGTTATGTAATTAAATGTTCAGCATTGCCCATCTAAAAATTTAGCAGTAAAAGTAACTTTTACCGGTAAAAGTCTAAATATTCTTCCAATTATGGTCACCAGTCTAAATCCAAAAGTAAAAAGTAAAAGTAGGCGGGTGACCATAATTGGAAGAGTATTTGATTCTAGGCCCTTCTAAAGTTGGCTGTAATCTACATTATTGTTAGCCACACTGGAGTGGGGAGAACTCTGAACCCCAAGGCCTCCGTAGAGCCCAAGCTCAGATCACAGTTTTTGGAGACTGGTGCTTCAATTTTTTCTTCATTTGATTCTTCTTGTTGGGCTTCCAAGCACCAAAGCAGCCCTGCCATATCTCACACACTGTCTGTGGGACAGACAGGTTGGGGCAGTACTCTGCCGGCATGCCAGCGAGGTGGAGGTGGCTTCCCCTAGAGCCCAGAGACAGCTCGCTAGCATGTGATTTCAGCTCATGTTTCAGTGCGGTCAAAAGTTTCCAGCAGCACAGTATGTTCAATCAAAATGGGCAAAACTGCAGCTGGCAGAACACCAAGCTCATGGGTGGGAGTGTTAGGAGAGGACGAACTGTCCAATGGGAGCAAGACTCTCACAGACAGAATAGCAAAGGACACTTCTGGGGAAAGAAAAACCTCAGCATAAAACAGAGCTTCAGTGCCAACCTGGTCATTAATCTACACTTCTAGAATCTGATTAGCTTTCAAAGGCTGAGCAGATGAGAGCGTCTTGCATTGTTTTCTCTTTATTCCACAGAAAGAATTGACCTGATTTCCCCCAGTTTTACAGTCTTTTTCCCTTTTTTTTTTTTCATGCTGCATGTATCTCCTTAGTTAATGGTCCCTCTTATCTACAGAATATTATTTTAACCTTAACTTACAGGTTTTCCTTTAGTAGACATTTTTACAAAATGTTGATTATCTAAATATGTAAGTGAAAGTCGGTTCCCTGCAGCAGCACATGGCAGAACTTTACATGTGCCACCTTTTTCCTCAGTCAAGTGAAGATGAACCAGAAATTTTCTGAGTGCATTTAGTGTGAATCCTCATAGGCATGTGTGCTTTTGTTTGTTAGTTTTTATGCTTTCTCTTCACAAATGTTGTCACATGTTGCTTACACAAGTGTTGGGGTTTTTCCGTGGAGCTTAGGGTGCTTTGGATCTGGTGCCTCCCTTCCGGGTCGGTATCTGATTTGCTTTCCTGGCTCTTGTTCCTTAATTACAGATTAAGGCGGATTATCAGATCTCACCTTTCCCTCCCCAGGGAGGCCTGGAAGGAGGGAAACTGGCCTTAAGAAGTCGCCAAGAACCAGCCTCAGGAGGCCATGATCTCTGAATATAGGATCTTTTCTCCCCACCCGGGGTTTTCCCCCATTTTTATGTCTGTTTTCATCAGGCATTGTCAGAGAAAAAGATCTTCCATCTGTTTTTTTTTTCAAGAGTTGTACACAAAAAAGTTTAGTGAGACATCTGCCTCCTGTTCCTGCCCTTAGCCACATATTCTGTCCTCAAAGGTTTCTTTATGAGCAGTTTCTTTAGTTTCTTTTTCTTTTTTTTTTTTTTTTTTTTTTTTTTGAGACAGAGTCTCGCTCTGCTGCCCAGGCTGCTGGAGTGCAGTGGCGCAATCTCGGCTCACTGCTACTGCTGCCTCCCTGGCTCTAGCAATTCTCCTGCTTCAGCCTCCCGAGTAGCTGGAATTACAGGTGTGCACCACCATGATCTAACTTTTTGTATTTTTTAGTAGAGACAGGGTTTCACCATGTTGGGCAGGCTGGTCTTGAACTCCTGACCTCAAGTGATCTGCCCACCTTGGCCTCCCAAAGTGCTGGGATTACAGGTGTGAGCCACCACCCACAGCCCGCTATGAGCAGTTTCTTTGATTCTCTCCAGATCTATTCCCTGCATATAGAAGCATCCATGTCTGTGTGTCTTTCTGCCTTTTTTTTTTTACGGAAATGGTTGCACATACGACACACCGTCTTCACCTTGCTTTCTTCAACAGTATATTGAAGAGTTTTTTCCCCCAATTTGGAGAGTCAAATATTTTGCTGCTTCATTCAGTTATGCAACAGATATTTCTTCTATTTTTTTTTTTTCTTGAGATGGAGTCTTGCTCTGTTGCCCAGGCTAGAGTGCAGTGGCGCCATCTCAGCTCACTGCAACCTTCAGCTTTGGGGTTGAAGCAAGTGATTCTCCTGTGTCGGCCTCCCAAGTAGCTGGGATTATAGGCGCACGCCACCATGCTTGGCTAACGTTTGTATTTTTAGCAGAGATGGGGTTTCACCATGATGGCCAGGCTGGTCTTGAACTCCTGACCTCAAATAATCTGCTTGCCTCGGCTTCCCAAAGTGCTGGGATTACAGGGGTGAGCCACCACGCCTGGTCAAGATATCAAGATATTTCTTGAAGACGTGTTACATGAGGCACACTAATAAATACCTACGTATGATGACCACTTTGGGACCCTTGGGAGACACAGAGTCCTTACTATGCCAAAATACTGTAGCTATTTCCGGTGAATGTATTCTTTTTTTTTTTTTTTTTTTTTGAGACGGAGTTTAGCTCTCGTTGCCCTAGCTGGAGTGCAATGGTGCAATCTCAGCTCACTGCAACCTCTGCCTCCCAGGTTCAAGTGATTCTCCTGCCTCAGCCTCCCTAGTAGCTGGGATTACAGGCGTGTGCCACCACGCCCAGCTAATTTTTTGTATTTTTGGTAGAAACGGGTTTTAACCAGGCTGGTCTCAAACTCCTGACCTCAGGTGATCCGCCCGCCTTGGCCTCCCAAAGTGCAGGGATTACAAGCGTGAGCCACTGCGACTGGCAAGTGAATGAATTATTTTTTTCCTTTTTCTTTTTCTTTGAGATGGAGTCTCACTCTGTTGCCAGGCTGGAGGGCAGTGGCACGATCTTGGCTCACTGGCTCACTGCAACCTCCATCTCCCGGGTTCAAGCAATTCTCCTGCCTCAGCCTCCTGAATAGCTGGGATCACAAGCGTGTGCCACCACGCCTGGCTAATTTTTTAATTTTTAGTAGAGACGGGGTTTCACCGTGTTGGTCAGGCTGGTCTTGCACTCCTGACCTCAGGTGATCCACCCACCTTGGCCTCCCAAAGTGCTGGGATTACAGGCGTGAGCCACCACACCCAGCAGTGAATGAATTCTTATAAGATTGGCGGCTGGGCGCAGTGGCTCACGCCTGTTATCCCAGCACTTTGAGAGGCCAAGGCGGGCAGATCACGAGGTCAGGAGATCAAGACCATCCTGGCCAACATGGTGAAACCCTGTCTCTACTAAAAATACAAAAAATTAGCCGGGCATGGTTGCGGGCACCTGTAGTCCCAGCTACTCGGGAGGCTGCGCCAGGAGAATGGCGTGAACCCAGGAAGCGGAGCTCGCAGTGAGCCGAGATCGCGCCACTGAACTCCAGCCTGGGCGACAGAGCGAGACTCTGTCTCAAAAAAAAAAAAAAGATTGGCATGTTGTTCTCCACAGGTATTCATCATCCCACCCTCACTATGGCACTCCAGGACCCAGATTCAAATATTCGAGGAAACTGATGAGTGAAATATGTGAATAAGAGGGGGTGGGCTGGGTGGCTGGTGATTACAGTGGCTCATGCCTGTAATCCCAGCACTTTGGGAGGCCGGGGCAGGCGGATCACCTGAGGTCAGGAGTTCAAGACCAGCCTGGCCAACGTGGCAAAACCCTGTCTCTACTAAAAATGTAAAAACAAATTAGGCGTGGTGGTGCATGACTGTGGTCCTACAGGCACTATTTTACATGCCTGTAGTCCCAGCTACTTGGGAGGCTGAGACAGGAGAATCGCTTGAACCCAAGAGGCAGAGGTTGCAGTGAGCCTATATCGTGCCACTGCATTCCAGCCTCGACAACAGAGCGAGACTTGTCTCCAAAAAAAAAAAAAAAAAAGGCGGGGGGGGATGGAATTCGGCTGTAAAGAATTAGGAATAAAGACTCATTTCCACTAGGATTTTAGAGGTGTGTTAGATCTGACTCAGAAGAGGACCCTTCCTCCCTCCTTCTCAGCCACTTGTGACTAATCATCAGACTTGGTTTTACTCGGTAGTTTCAGTTAAAAATTTGAAACATTTATATTAGAATTTTCGATTAACTTTTTTCAGAGTTGGGAATTTCAGAATGACTTTTTTTAAAAATTGACTCCATTATGATAAATCAGTTTTTCTTGCAGAAAGCTTATTACATTGTAAAATAGTGCCTGTAGGACATTTTCAACTCATCTGTAAAGGGCCTTCTTAACTTTGTCCCTCCCCTGTCCTTGCCACAGTCCGGATGCTGCTGATAGCACGTCTTTCGATGTCCAGCTAGGAGACATTATCCTGACGGCAACAGATGGACTCTTTGACAACATGCCTGATTATATGATTCTTCAGGAGCTAAAAAAGTTAAAGGTAATTAACTCAAAGGTTAGCTCTTGGGAAAAGTGGCCCTCTCTGGATAGCTGAGTTTTATGGATTCAGTTGCATTATCTCTTTGTAGTTTTGGAAAGAACTATTTTGTGAATTTCAGGAAAATAATAATAGCTCTGGTCTTTCAAATAATTAGAGCACTTGGAAAAAGAAGCTTCCTACCCAAGGTTTTCATAGGCTGGTAGAAGTAGGAAAAGTCTAGATGGAGGGCATTTCTTGTTTGTATCTTTATTTATATTTTAATGGTGTCGGGTCCTGGTTGTTTCTCCTTTTATTCTTCTAACACCCAGCAGGTGTTGAATCAGGCAAAGACAGGAAATAGTCATGCCAGAGCCAGCCAAAGGCAGCAGGCCACTGGAAGCCTCAGTGTGACCTGAGCTGCCACCAGTAACCAAATAGTATGGGTTTCTCCCATAGAGGAAGGAGGTGAAACTAGGCTTTCAATTTTTTCCTGGCTTTGTGAACATACTCTGGGAAAAATGAGTCTTTTTCTCATGAGTCTTTACCTCTAACCAGTATGACTTTGGGTACGTTTCTTTCTTTTTTTTATTATTTATTGAAGTTGCTGAGATCTGAGGGTTTCTTAAAACTGTTTAAGCAGTATTTTCTTCATATAAAATGGGGCATCCTAAAGATCCTCTTTTATAGGGTTGCAGTGAGGATTAACTACAGCCCTGTGTAGGAACTCCTTAGCGCCACGCCTTGTCTGTGGAGTGCAGTCAGTGTGAGGTGCTTCCTTGTCACAGGCACCGTGCTCTGTGTGGTGACACAGTGGTGAGCAGAATCTACACAGTCCCTACCTGTATGGAACTTACATCCTAGTGGAGGAAAATAGATAAATACAGGGAAGTAAATCTATGATGTAATGTGGGTGCTAAATAAGAAAAACAAAGCTGGATAAGGGAATAGAGAGTAGAAGGGACTGCTACTACTTTAGATAGATTGGTCAGGAAGGGCCTTTTTGAGGAGGTGACATTGAAGCAGAGACCTGTCATTATACTGAAACTAGAGCTGAAGTGGACCTCGTGTTCCCATCCCCGTTTTGCAGATGAGGAAGTTGGAGCAGCAAGGATAAAGGTATGGCCCAAGATTTCACAGCTCGACAGGAATCTCTTCCTGATATAAAATTCTGAAGGTATTTTCACTAGAGCAACTGGTAGCTCTTGGAGAGCAAACTGGGGTTGGCCAGGCTGTGTTCCTAAGCAAGGAAGCTTTTGAGGTATCCTTCAAAGGCTATCAGAATCTGCCTTTTCAGTTCATCCTATTTTAGCAAGAATACCTTAAGAATTTCAAATGGGAAAAAAAGCAAAAATGAAAATCCAAACTTTAGGGCTTAAGGCCACCAAAGCAAAGGACTTTCTGATTGATACCTTGTGCAGGCAGCACTGGAGTCTTGTTCATATTAGCCAGGGCATGATGTTTTAATGTCTTTTCTAACTAGAATAAAACTTACATGATGGAAAAGGTGGTTAGATAAATGTTACTGTCTTGAGCATTATGGTAAAATAACTTCCTCATGCTTTATCTTAGAATTCAAATTATGAGAGTATACAACAGACTGCCAGAAGCATTGCTGAGCAAGCTCATGAGCTGGCCTATGACCCAAATTATATGTCACCTTTTGCACAGTTTGCATGTGACAATGGATTGAATGTGAGAGGTAAGCATTCTTTGGGAAGGTCATAGGGACTGACTGGGGACATGGTGTCAGTAGAGTGGAGCATTCTGGGCTCTGGGTGAGACTGTGGAGGTGTCCTCTCCCAGCCCCCAAACTGTGCACTTGTGGCTTTCAGCAAGGTCAGGAGGATGAGAGCAAGTGCATTTCGTCATGTCTTCCCCACACAGCATGCCCTTCAGAACTGAACCTCATTGGCGGCAGAGGCAGGTGGAACCTGAAGCCCTTTATTGCCGCCACCGCAATGCTTGGACCTGAACCCAAAAGGCTTCCGAGCTCTGCCCAGAGTGCGTGGACATTCCTAACAGTTTAACATTCAGCCTTTCACGTGTCTGACATTTCGCTTCTCCCTTCCTCTGGCTTTGTGGGACTCAACAGTATTTGCCTGACAAATTGCCACAGCAGGGTTTGAAGAGGGAAGCAATGTGAAACTGCCCTTGACTGAAGACTTGTCCTATCTACAGCATGATGTGTGACTTTGGGAGCAGGCCAGTGGCTCCGTCTCAGGGCTGGGACATGTTGGTGCTAGCATATCAGAGCTAGTAGAATTAGTTTCTTGTTGGTATAATTTTATGACATGTGAAACATTTCTTAGTCCTCCAAAAAATGTTAAAATAGAAAAAGTGCATGCCATAGCTGTTTGGCAGATTAGAATACAAGGCTATTCCTAGTTTCAAAACATTGGATATGTCTGTCTAAATTAGGATTGTGGGTATAGAAGCATGTAACTTTCTCGTCAGATTCACTGTGATTGATGTGAACAGAGGGTGTGGTGGCTGTTTGAATAGAGCTCCTGTTGTAAAGGAGCAGGGAAGATTTTTTTTTTTAAGCTTCAGTTTCATGTAATTTCTTGGAGTTTTGTTTAACTGTTTTTTTTTAATCAAATATTTTTTTCTTTATTCTACTAGGGTATACTGACAAACCAAAACTGCCTGGAATGCAAGCATTTGTCTCCTAGTACTTAATTTAAGTACACATTTTTTATTGACTTTTCCTTTTAAAATATACTGATAGGTTCTCATTTTCATTGTAGGTGGAAAGCCAGATGACATCACCGTCCTTCTTTCAATAGTGGCTGAGTATACAGACTAGCTGAGGTGTCAAGTCCTGCCTTTCCTTTCATCATCCCAAATTTCCCCTGCCATGTGTGCTGATCCTGCTGGCAGGACCACATTTCTTTGCCACTGATCTCAATGGCCAGTGATGTAAGTCTTTTGCCTGTCTTCTTGAGACTCGTTGAGATCTTTGTTGAGAACCACTACTATCATTCACTAGCTCATATCTGCCGGCAGCAATTGAAGAGATCCAATATTTGAAGATTGGCCTTCATTTCTCGATGTTCTTTCCATGATGGGGATGGAGGTGTTCAGTGCCACCGTGGCTGTTACTTTTCAAAGTAGTTGAAGTATTGAAAATGAGTAATGTTGGTAAAGTGAATTCAAAATCCTAGTATGCTAAAGGGATGGTACAAGTCTAACACAAATTGTACGTAATGATACATCTACTAGAAACATACATTATTCATCAAAAGAAATGTTACATGTGTACTCCACAGGCATAGTCTTTGTTATGATGATTGGTGTGGCTTTATGTCTTTGTTATAAACTCCTATTTTTCAGGGGCTTATGATTCTGCTCTAAAACATTGCTCTGGGTTATACAGTTTTGATCCCAAAAGCTTTTTTGTTACAAATCGGGAGAAAAATCCATTTTAGTTCTATGGATGGAAATATTTCATGCTTTTAAAAAGATGTTTGTGTTCCTGTGGTTAAAGTTTTGGCAGTTTATTGATTAGTCCAAATCACAGGCTAAGGCCTGATCTCCAGGAGGGGTAGGGGAGACACTTTACCAGTATTTTTTTATGGAAATAATACTCAAGGTTGTAAAACCCCTCAAAGCCTAGAAATTTAATTGTTATGGCTGAAATTCCTCCTAGTTGTCTGATAGAATGCCCCTGAATGGGAACTCTAGGTCCCAAGGCCTGAAGGGTTGAGAACAGACAGCTGTAACTTTGAATTTTGTTGGCTTTCAGTGGTCATGCTACCTACCCATACTCGTACTCTCAGACCTTTTATTAGTAGCCTTGCTTTCTATAGAGCATGCACCAAATCCAGTGAGTCCATGTGGAGAGAGCACTGTGTGCGCAGCGGCAGCAGCACAGACGTCCATGAGGAAAACTCCCAGTGATGATCTGACATTTACAATTACCCCACATGGAAATTTAGGGGTTTCTGAATCAAGCTTAATGTTTACAGTTTCCAAATAGCCATTTTGCAGTGTATAGTTTCCTTACAAAACTACCCCGCATTCAGTTTTCACATTATCTGCAAGCTGAAACTTATTTTTAAGTTTTGTGTACAAGTTGACTGCTGTAAAGATATATATTTTTGGGTCAGTTTTTTTCCTTCATTAACTTGGTGGTAGAAAAAAATATATACTTAGAAATCCTTAAATTAAAGCCATGTTTTATATATAAGTCAGGTAACATTGGTGTATAGATGAGAATGCAATTAAACCTGATGAGAATCTACTTGAGAATATAGAAAGTCTTTCTCTAAAGGAGATACTGACTCCCTGGTTTATTGCATTAAAATTTATGTTTGAGGTTACCTCAACTTGTTTTAAAAGATTTTGTTTTGTGAATTTGTACTGTATATTTGAGTAACTGTCAGGCTTTTATTTAAAATTGTTTAACATGTACCATGTACATGTCATTACTATATTTCAATGCATCATGCTTGTAACAGGCATTTCATTTATAATAAGAATGAGTTATTCATTTGTAAGCCGTTCAGTAATTTATCTACTATTCCTAAATTGGCATAATGTTAGATAATCTATTTTGAATCACCTTTAATTACATGTCAGAATGCCTTAACTACCCTAACTTGACAAAACAGAATTCTTTGGTAGACGCGGTGGGGGCGGGGTGGGGGGTCTGGACGGAGTCTCTATTTAAGGAGAAATCATCATGCTATGATAAAACACAGAAGCATGAGTGGCAAGTGGCGGGGTATTTATTTTGCACAAACTATTTGCAGTCTCTGTGTATTTAAAAAGTAAAGAAAGTTGCATCCAGAAGGGTTTTGTTAGAATGAATACATTTATATTAGGACTGACAACTTCAGCTCTTTTGTTTAGGTTTTCAATTATTTTTGGTAAGAGTATGTAGCCTTATGATCTGGATATATTTTGCATTCATTTTCCAACGCCTACATTTAATTCCTGGTAAGAGCAGTGCTCGTCAAGTTTCTGGTTTTTCTCTGCTCTCATTTAACCCGTCAAACACAATCTTTGTAAAGCTAGATTGGTGGTGTTTTATACAACTTATTTACTCAGCTTACCTTTTTGAGAAACGATTGTTAGAAATTGACGATGTGTTTGTTCCAGTGATACTGAAAGTAGTGGGGGCAAGAATTGAGTTTCACAGTGGAATTGGCTTTGGATCTGGCCTATAGATTAGTGACATAAAATATTTTCTCTATTTTCCCCTGTTCTTTTTGTGTTATGCACTTAATTTTATGACTGCCGGGGGGGTCAGCTGGAGTGCTGCTTAACAAGTATCTCTCCTACTCTCAGTGGTCAGAGGCTGTGTTGGACCCATAGTAGAATTTTCCAGGTCACAGACCCAAGCTTCCATGGGTTGTTACTGTGCTGTACCACTTGGTGGGTCTGATTCTGAACCTGATGTGTGTGTTAATTATATTTTAAGCAACACACACACACACACACGCCTCATGTAATGGACTTTTATAACAAAAGAAAAAATTTGGATTTCTAATTTACAAATGGCAAATTATTTATCCCTCTCTGGATGCACCAAAGACCAGTAAAGTTTATAGCTTTTCCATCTATATTTATAAAGCAATACTGTATTATAAAAATCAATATTTTTATCACATGCTTGAAATTTTTATTTTGTTGTTTTAAAATGTGCACTCTAAACATATCAGAACCTTATTTCTTCCTATGAACTTAAGCTGCCTGCGCACAAAAAAAAAAAAAATTTACCAAATGGAGATGCAGTAGAGTCCATAGGCTCTAAAAACTAAAAGAAATGGGATGCAGGGGGAACAAGTTATTTGTCCTGAGTTACTGTACTTGCTTGACATGGTTGTTGGGTACTAAATCACAAAAGAATCCATTCCAGGTATGCATGTCTGGGGGTTGGGCTGTGTCTAGATTAGAAACTGGGTTTCAAGCTTTGCATGATGGGAGAGCGTCCTCTCCTCTATCAGCTGCGTGTGTTCTGGATAGGACAGTAGCCCGGAGATGGAAACCACCTTCAGTACCATTAGCCCACCATACCAAGTAACAAGTTAGGCAGGAATCGTGGGAATTTATTGAGTCAGCTTTGAGTGTTTGAGAGAATGTAAACAAGATTGGCTCGAATTGTAAACGTTTGTACTTTGGATGAGTTCATGGTTCTTTAGGTCACCTTAATACCAGCTATCTTTGGTAGAAGCTACAGCATTCAGTTTCTCTGGAAACTGTATCACATTTTTGCATTTTAAAAATTTTACAGTATCAAAAAACCAAAATCTGCTTATGAAACAAAACATGAAGCAGGACATATTTGGATTCTATTTATTTAAAATTAAATTCTTTGCAAAATTGAACTTCTCAACTAAAACGTGTCCATGTCAGAATTTTAACTGTTAGCAGGTAGTTTGTGGCAAAGATGGCTAAATAATGAAGCAAATTAGAATCTGTGTGTATACTAATGAGCTGCTTTTTTTCTGTTGAGACTATCATTATTTGTCTTATTACCCAAGAGGCAATTACCTGAATTTGGATGTCTGAATTATAACTTATGCAGGAATAGTTCTGTAAATACATTTAAATAAACTGTAAAGATATTTAATAAATATAGTATTTATACTAATCTGTGTGCTTCTTTTGGTTTGAATAGTAACTAAATGAGACACCAGCCCTTGACATTGAGTTTGTTGGTCACTATCAGGTCCTCATTTCCAAGCCTCCTAGTCATTCTAGCACTGATTATATGCTGCTACTTTAACTGGCTCCAGCTGCTTCACTACATCAGTTTAGCTTCCTCAGAAATTCATCAAAATGGACGGACAATTAAATGTAAATTATAGAACTTTTTCCCAGCTGAGGCTTTGCACCTTCCGTATAGTATAGAGGGAAGCTACAAAAAAAATCTGCTGTACAGTCAGTCGTGTTGTTTAACAGAGATGTTCTGACAGATGCATCCTTAGCAATTTCATCATTGTGTACTGACACAAGCCTAGATGGTCTAGCCTACTACACATCTGGGCTATATGAATAGCCTGTTGCTCCTAGGCGACAAACCTGTATAACATGTTACTGTACTGAATACTGTAGGCAGTTGTAACACAACAGTAAGCATCTGTATATCTAAACATAGAAATGTTTCAGCAAAACTATGGTATGAAAGACAAAAAAATGGTACACCTGTATAGGGCAGCTCCATTATCTTATGGGACCACCACTGTCTGTGCAGTCCATCGTTGACCAAAACGTTGTTATGCAGCACATGACTGTATTTCAGCTTAGCACTCTGTATCCAAATTCTAAAATCCAAAGTGCCCAGCTAATTTTTGTAGAGATGGGATCTCACCATGTTGCCCAGGCTAGTCTTGAACTGCTGGGCTCAACTGATCCGCCCACCTGGGCCTCCCAAAGTGCTGGGATTACAGGCATGAGCCACTACACCCCGCCAGTATTAACTATAATAATAGTCCAATGCTGCATCCAGGCTATTACTGATGATGATGCCTTTAAGACCTAAACCCCTCTGCCTACTTCAATGAATGAACCAGAAATGTTATCCTCAGCAAAGAGACCTACAGAGTTACTTTTGTGTATAAAAGCTCCCTGTGTAGGCATCTGCATTTGTTAGAAATACCAGAAATTCAGTGTTAATCATCAGTGTAAGCATAAGATACATATATCTTCCCCTACCATGTGATGAAAGGACTTAGTTGAAATTATGTGGGCATTGCCAGTTACCACAAAAAGCTTGGTTAAGGCCCATTTTCATTCACTAAGGAACATCTTGGGATGAACTTGAGTTTTTATTAGGTTATTGTGGGTAGCTATGACTCATTACTAAGCTACAAGAGCCAAATTAATTCTGGTTTCAGTTAGAACTCTATTCACAGTTCTAAAGCATGCAAATCCACTCAGCCACCTTTATGAATTTCTCACAAAGTCTAAAGTACAACTGCTTGCCAGTTAACACTTCCTTACGGTTTGAAGGTTTCAGAAAGATGTAACAATAATATGTTACAAAAGTCTCGTTTGTCAGGTTATAATTGACTGTAAACAGGTTTGGGGGAGGGAGAGGCACACATCATAAGACATTACATAACAATGTTTTGTGCCAGATTTTTTAGTCCATTTGTGCAGGTAAAAAGCTAACTCTTAAAGGGCCAAAGAACAGAGACATTTGTCTTCCACCTTATTCCACTCCAAACTCAGGCTGTCTTGGCAGTGGAGGATACTGTTCTATGTCAGATAATACAGAAATATTTGGCATCACTTCCATTAAATTCTTTCCTGCAGCACACTGCAAAATAAAAAATCACATCTGAAAATCAGAACAATTTGAGGTTAGGAAATAAAATTTTACAATATGTAAAAACACTCCAGGTTGGGCGCAGTGGCTCAAGTCTGTAATCCCAGCACTTTGGGAGGCCGAGGTGGGCAGATCACTTGAGGCCAGGAGTTCAAGACCACCCTGGCCAACATGGCGAAACCCTGTCTCTACAAAATACCAGAAATTAGCCAGGCATGGTGGCACGCACCTGCAATCCCAGCTGCACGGGAGGCTGAGGCAGGAGAATCGCTTGGACCTGGGAGGCAGATGTTGCAGTGAGCAGAGATTGCACCACTGCACTTGAGCCTGAGTGACAAAGTGAGACTCCGTCTAAAAAAGCCAAGTGAAAGTGACTATATATTTTTACTCTTGATCTTTTTTCCAGGGTTTATTCTACTTAAAGTCTTAAAATATAAAAAACAATGCACAAAAAAGGCCATGGTATTACATGAGAAAACTAAAATCCAAATGTTTGCAATCAAATACAAAAGATACCTGACTACAAATCACAAAATTCCATTTCAAGCCATCTTGATGGCACTCTAAATGGCTGTTGAATAAAGTTTAAATACCTTTATAAAACTAGCAAAGATGTTAAAAGCTCTAGGGTGAACGTGCATTGAATTGAAGAACTCTAATGGGCTTTTTTCCTTCACAGAAAACTCTTCTGCCTCACAAGTAGCATAATGGATTTAAAGCAAGTTACATACACTTGACAAACAGCTATTTCTAGATATGGTTGTTGTACAAGATGATGTGGTTTAAAAGCCCATCCTCCATTAAAAGGAAGTCCTGGACAACCTCTTTTAGACACTAAACATGCAAACTCGTGCTTGAGGGGCAAATGAGCCAGTCACTGGGCTGGGGCCCAGCTCAGCCATCATTAAGCATTAGAATATAGAGAAACTGCCATTATTCATGTCCTCTTCACTGTCACTTGCTCTTGCCAGACTGTCGAAAGGGTGGTTGAAGTGTTCTTGCTGGTCAGAAGAAACTGCTCCAAAGAACATGCAAGAAAACTGGAGGGAAAAAAGGAACTGCATTGTTGATTCCAAAGAGAAAGTTTGCTCATTAAATGCTCCAGGTGACAGCCCTCCTCAGAAACCTGACCAGTATTATATCCCTGTCTTTGCTGGTGATGGTTCACAGAACACCCAGAACCTTCATTATTGGTCCAACACGTCCTAAAACCAAACCTTGGCCGCGCATGGTGGCTCACGCCTGTAATCTCAGTACTTTGAGAGGCCAAGGTGGGCGGATCACGAGGTCAGGAGATCGAGACCATCCTGACTAACATGGTGAAACCCCGTCTCTACTAAAAATACAAAAAAAAATTAGCTGGGTGTGGTGGCGGACACCTGTAGTCCTAGCTACTCGGGAGGCTGAGGCAGGAGAATGGCGTGAACCCGGGAGGCGGAGCTTGCAGTGAGCCGAGATCGTGCCACTGCACTACAGCCTGGGGACAGAGCAAGACTCCATCTCAAAAAATTAAACAAAAAAAACAAACCTTTCCCTGCCTTCAAAGGCACATGACAATCTTCAGTTTGGGATCAATGGTCTGCTGCTGACTCCCCTCCTGAGCCATCAAAGCTTCCACCAGAACTGAGAGGCAGAGGTCAACGAAGCCTCCGTAAGCCACTGGATTAATTAATCCATCTTCTTCCCTTCCCCTCCTGCTACGGCAGAAGCCACTCTTCCAAGTTAAAGCCAGTCCTTTCCTCCCTATCTCTGCATCCCAGCACCCTGGGAATGTTAGCATTTTCAAATGCTCAAATGCCTCTCATCTTCACCTTTTTATTTGTTATCAGGTTTTGCCCTATTGCCCAGGTTGCAGTGCAGCTGTGTGATCACGTCTCACCGCAGCCTCAAACTCCTGGGCAATCCTCCCACCTCAGCCTCTGGAGTAGCTGTAACTACAGGTATGCACAACCATGCGCAGCCTTTTTTTTTTTTTCCGTAAAGACCAGGTCTTGCTACGTGGCCCAGGCTGGTCTCAAACTCCTGGCTTCAAGCAATCCTCCTGCCTTCACCTCCCAAAGTGCTAGAATTACAGGCATGAGCCACTGTGCTCAGTCTTCTTATCTTTAAAATACAGAAATAGCCAGGCACGGTGGCCCACGCCTGTAATCCCAGCACTTTAGGAGGCTGAGGCAGGTGGATCACCTGAGGTCAGGAGATCGAGACCAGCCTGGCCAACATAGTGAAACCCCGTCTCTACTAAAAATACAAAAAATTAGCTGGGCATGGTGGCGGGCACCTGTAATCCCAGCTACTAGGGAGGCTGGGGCAGGAGAATCACTTGAACCTGGGAGGCAGAGGTTGCAGTGAGCTGAGATTGAGCCACTGCCAGCCTGGGCAACAAGAGCGAAACTCCATCTCTAAACAAACAAACAAATAGCCTAACCTCATCCCATTTCCCCCTTCAGTTACTGCTTTATCTCTAATTGTAGAGCTGTCTACACCCACTGTCTCCATCTTCTCATTCTCCTACTCTTTACTTAAAAAAAGCTTCTCCAGGCCCGGCACGGTAGCTCACGCCTGTAATCCCAGCACTTTGGGAGGCCAAGGCGGGTGGATCACCTGAGCTCAGGAGTTCGAGACCAGCCTGAGCAAGATGGTGAAACCCTGTCTCTACTAAAATACAAAAAATTAGCTGGGTGTGGTGATGCATGCCTGTAATCCCAGCTACTTGGGAGTCTGAGGCACAAAAATCACTTGAACCCGGGAGGTGGAGGTTGTAGTGAGCCAAGATTGTGCCCCTGCACTCCAGCCTGGGCAACAGAGCAAGACTGTCTCAAACAAACAAAAACAACAAAAAAAGCTTCTCCCTCACTGACCCCCATATCACAGAAACTTATGGTCAACAGAATTTACCACATCCTTAAAGTCAGGACCCATTTTCAGTCCTCCCCACTTGTTATTCACTCTGACATCTTTCTCATGCCGCACTCTCCTGGCTAATCTCAGCTCAGCCAGCTTGCCCTCTTCTAAGCAGCCTCTGAACTTGGGTTACTTAACCTCAGCGCTGCTGCCATTTGAGGCCTTATGAGTCTTTGGTGTAGAGCTGTCCTGCAGGGAGGAAGATGGTGGGCGGCACTGCGGGTCTTTACCCGCTACATGCAATTAGCATTCCCTTAACATATCCAAAACTGAATTCATGATCTTACTAAGCCCTGAATCTACTTCTCCAAACCTAAGACCTCCCTGGATACCTTTTTCCTTAACCCCCATAACCAATCCATCACCAAGTCCTGCTAGTTTTGGCTCCTAAATGAACTATTTCAGCCGCCTCTCTCCACTTCTCATCTAAGTAATCACCATCTCTCAGATGCTACAATTGGGTGACTATTGCCTCACTGAAGCCCGTTTTTCATATAACACTTTCAGCTAAAGTCATCCAGTCAACATTCAGTCTGTCAGCCCTCCCAGGTAAAGCCATTCAAATATTTTAAATACCCAGGTACTTTGGCCGCTTGCACAGCTTCCAGGACTCTCCAGCATGATCTGGCTCTTACCAAGCACTCTAGCCTCCCCTTGTGCCACTGTCTCCCTCTGGCTCTGATCTCCAACCACAGTGGCCATCCCTCAGCTCCTTCAAGCCCCCAGGCTCCCTCCCCTGCTGGGGCCTTTGCACAGGCCGCCCTCCCTGAGCTCTACTCCCACCCCCATGCCCTCATCCTTTCCAGCTCAGCTCAAACACCAGTTTCAAGGGGAAGACGTTCTGACCTGGATTAAGGCAGTACATACCATTAAATCTTCTCCAAGCACCCTGAACTTCTCCTTTATTGAACTAAACACAGCCTTTCAAAAATTATATATTTAGTCATGTTATACCTATACCCTAGTCCCGATACGTGATACCCGCTCTAGTCTCTAAACAAGTTGAGGAAGCTTGTTTATTTTGTTCACTGTAGTATCCCTCGCATGGCTGTCTAGGACACAGCTCTCAAGAAATACTTGGAGCTGCACAGTACCACAAGACAACAAATGAATGAGCCCTGTTCTTGGGTCATCCTCACGTCTCAGAAGGTGAAGATGCCCTCTGCAAGGCTTGCCTTGCAGCTGTTGAACCTGCTCTCCAGATAGCCGTGATACTGGCTGTGGCAGGCAGGAAAATGGTTCCCAGAGGTCCATGTACTAAGCCCATGAACCTCTGAAGATGTTATGTCACACTGCAAAGAGGAATTAAGGTAGCAGTTGGAATTAAGGTTTCTAATTGCTGATGTGGAATAGCCAGGTGGGCCCAATGTAATCACAGCGATCCATAGAAATGGAAGAGGGAGACAGAAGACTTAAGGTCAGAGTGCGGCTGTGTGGAAAAAACGGCCGTTGCTGATTTTGAAGCTGGAAAAGAACTACAAAGCAAAGAATGGAAGTGGTCTCTAGAAGCTGGAAAGGGCAAGAAAGCAGATTCTCCCCCAGAGTCTCCTGAAGGGAACACAGCTCTGATGACACCTTGATTTTAGCCCATTGAGACCCAATTAGGACTTCCGACCTTTGGAACTGTAAGATACTCAATTCATGTTGTTTCAAGCCACTAAATTTGTGGCAATTTGTTAAAGGGTCATTGGGAAACTAACATACTGATCTGGCCATAATTGGAGGCATGGTTTCTTTTCTTTTTTTTTTTTTTTTGAGATGGAGTCTCGTTCTGTCGCCTAGGCTGGAGTGCGGTGGCATGATCTCAGCTCACTGCAAGCTCCGCCTCCTGGGTTCATGCCATTCTCCTGCCTCAGCCTCCCAAGTAGCTGGGACTACAGGCGCCCGCCACCACACCCAGCTAGTTTTTTGTATTTTTAGTAGAGATGGGGTTTCACCGTGTTAGCTAGGATGGTCTTGATCTCCTGACCTCGTGATCTGCCTGTCTCGGTCTCCCAAAGTGCTGGGATTACAGGCATGAGCCACCGTGCCCGACCAATTGGAGGCATGGTTTCAATTGCCTCTAAAGAGTCTAGTCTTCACCAAGGTCAAGAACCTAAGGCTAGAAAAGACCTAAATACAGCACCTGTGTCTGTTCAGTGTATATCATCACGTGCAAATAGCTCTTGATAATGTTTGTGGTGCTATATGAGACTTGAAAGCTGAGGTTTTCTTTAATCTTTGAGAGCTGCCCTGAATTTGCTACTGGCTTAGAGTAAATGCTATTTGCTACCCTCCCTTGTCCCCACCTTCAGCCTGTAAGTCTCATATGGCTGGATAATGGGGCCCTTCTCCATGTCTAGTAATCTAATGGAGGAAGCTTGAGAACACCCATGCAACTAGAAATTAACTTCAAGTCTAATATGAGTTGGGTAGGAAGAGAATTATAAAATCTTTTTTTTTTTACTAATATACATATTGTCCCTATTTTGATGCCCCTGAGAGCTGTGTATAACTTCTAGTTTAAACTTAATAAAAAATCCACAGCAGGCCAGGCGGGGTGGCTCATGCCTGTAATCCCAGACTTTGGGAGGCCAAGGCAGGTGGATCACCTGAGGTCAGGTGTCCGAGACCAGCCTGGCCAACACAGTGAAACCCTGGCTCTACCAAAAAAATACAAAAATTAGCTGGGCGTGGCCAGGTGCAGTGGCTCACGCCTGTAATCCCAGCACTTTGGGAGGCCAAGGCGGGTGGATCACGAGGTCAGGAGTTCAAGACCAGCCTGGCCAAGATGGTGAAACCCTGTCTCTACTAAAAACTACAAAAATTAGCCAGGTGTGGTGACAGGCGCCTGTAATCTCAGCTACTCGAGAGGCTGAGGTAGGAGAATCACTTGAACCCGAGTGGCAGAGGTTGCAGTGAGCCAAGATCATGCCACTGCACTCCAGCCTAGGCAACAGAGTGAGACATAGTATCAAAGTATCTCTCCACAAAATACTTACCAGTTGCTAAAAGAAAAACAGTAACTATATAGTAGAGAGCCGGCAGACACCACCTTGACCATATGATGGAAATTAACACCACCAATATGGAGAAAAACCAACCTGTGCCTCCAGATACGATGTACAAAGAGAACCCAACATTATTACTCTGTTGAATTCTTACCAAAAATACATAGTTTAAATTGAATCATGAGGAAACACAGAAAAAACCCAAAGTTAGGACATTCTACTAAAATGTCAAAGTAAAGGACAAAGCGGGCTGGGTGCAGTGGCTCATACCTGTAATCCCAGCACTTTGGGAAGCCAAGGAGGGCGGATCACTTGAGGTCAGGAGTTTGAGACCAGCCTGGGCAACATGGTGAAACCCCGTCTCTACTAAAAATACAAAAACTGGCCAGACACAGTGGCTCACACCTGTAACCCCAGCACTTTGGGAGGCCAAGGCGAGTGGATCACCTGAGGTCGGGAGATCGAGACCATCCTGGCCAACATGGTAAAACCCCGTCTCTACTAAAAAAAATACAAAAAAATTAGCTGGGCGTGGTGGTAGGCACCTGTATTCCCAGCTACTCAGGAGGCTGAGGCAGGAGAATCACTTGAACCCGGGAGGTGGAGGTTGCAGTGAACCAGATTGCACCACTGCAATCTAGCCTGGGCGAAAATGAAACTCCGTCTAAAAAAAACCAAATAAATAAAAAGAAGAAAGTCTTAAAGGCAGAGTAATAATCAAAATATTTGAAGTGATTATCTCTTATTTGTATTTTCTGATTTTTGTTCAATGAAATGATCATTGTACTGTTATACTGAATATTAAATGTGGAGGCCAGGCACAGTGACTCATGCCTGTAATCCCAGCATTTTGGGAGGCCAAGGCAGGCAGATCACTTGAGGCCAGAAGTTTGAGACCAGCCTGGCCAACCATATCTGGCTAATTTTTGTATTCGCAGTAGAGACGGGGTTTCACCATGTTGGCCAGGATGGTCTCGATCTCTTGACCTTGTGATCTGCCCACCTCGGCCTCCCAAAATGCTGGGATTACAGGCATGAGCCACCACGCCGGCCAATCTAAGAGTTTTAAAAGCAAGAGAGTGATAAGTAACAACAATAATTTTTTTCTTTTTGAGACGGAGTCTTGCTCTGTCGCCCAGGCTAGAGTGCAATGGCACGATCTCAGCTCACTGCAATCTCCGCCTCCCGGATTCAAGCAATTCTCCTGCCTCAGCCTCCTGAGTAGCTGGGATTACAGGCGCCCGCCACCATGCCCAGCTTATTTTTGTATTTTTAGTAGAGACAGGGTTTCACCAATCTTGGCCAGGCTGGTCTTGAACTCCTGACCTCGTGATCTGCCCGCCTCTGCCTCCCAAAGTGCTGGGATTACAGGCATGAGACACTGTGCCCAGCCAATAACTAAATTTTATCAAGCACTGACCATGTGCCTGTTGCATCTTTAGCTCAATCTTTACAATTCCATTTAGTGGGCATAATTATTATTACCCCCATTTTACTAAGGAAACTGAAGGCAAAATAAATAACTTGTCCAAGTTACGCAGTTAATACGTGGTAAGAGAGAGGTTTGAACCTTGGCATTTGAACTCTAGAGCCAGGGCTCTGAACCCCTGGGCCTCACTGTAGACCTCAGGTTTGGACAAAAATCTATGAGTACACTGTGGAAGAGAAGCAGGGTGAAGGAGAACAGAGGCACAGAGGATGGCAGGAAGCCCATGGAATTTCAGGCAGAACATGATAAGGGTCTACATCATTTACCCATAATGTAATTTCAGCTTTGCAGGAGTTTGCCACATTAAGGCAAATAATTCCCTTTAAAAATAGAGCCTTCTTTCAAGAATTTGGTGACACAATAGGAAATTTGGAGTAAAGAGTGCTGTAATGGTGCTCATGGAGATTAAAGTTCTAAATGTCATTTTCTCTAGCAAAGAAACTGGCAATCTTAGTGAATTTCAGGGACCTGAAGCAGCAGGAAGATGATTCCTGTTGTTGCCTGTGAAAAAGTAAGTACAATATGTGTGACTAGAAAAATAGGAGGGGACAATGCTTTTGTACAATGAGAACACAGATTTCAGTTTTCATTTTATGGCCAACTTAGTAACATACAGGAAGAGAAAATTGCCCTAAGTGTTGGGAATATAACAAGTACTCAATAAACACCTATGGTATCAAACTAAGTCCAGTTTACTAATCAAATTCTGCCCTAAAAGTCATATACAGCGTAATATGGTGAATTTTTTATTTTTTTAAGAAACAGTGTCTCACTCTGTTGCCCAGGCTGGAGTGCAGTTGTGCGATCATAGCTCACTGAAGCCTTGAACTACTGGGCTCAAGAGATCCTCCCACTTCAACCTCCTCAGCAGCTAGGTCTACAGCCACCACATCTGGCTAATATTTAAGTTTTTGTTGAGATGGGGTCTCACTCTGTCACTTAGGCTGGTCTTGAACTCGTAGCTCAAGAGATCTTCCCTCCTTGGCCTTCTAAAGGGCCGGGGTTACAGGCGTGAGTCACTGCACCCAGCCAAGATGGTGATGGTAACTTTCAAAAATATTATTTTTGCTTTCAAATTTCTAATTCTAACTAAGAAACTCATATCTCCAAACCAACAATAACAACAGCAAAACAAGCTTGAACAAAACATTAAACAAGTAAAATTAGGATTATCAATATTTGAGATACTTCAGTTTCTAATACATTGCTTACCTTCAGTTCAGTAGATTTCGTAAGGTTTAACACTACAGCATTCTGTAAAGCTTATCATCTATCTTATAGAATAAGATGTTATTAACTGGGACTCCACTATGAAGGAATTTGTGATATTTGTTGGGATGAAATTTACGTTTGTACTATTATGAATACAAGATTTACCAAACAAATTTGAAAAGTAAAATTAGAAGGAAACATTTTAGGAAACAAATTATTTATATGATCTCAGCATATTATTGTTATTCAAGATAGAATATACCATAAAAAAATCATAATTTATTCTTGGAAACAAGTGACCCAAACCTCTACTTGAATATGCTTTGTTAGAAATTACTGACTGAACAATTTAACTATTTTCTATTGATATTCTGTAAATCAGACTTTTCTCTATCAGACTTTTCTTCATTCTATAATTCAGACTAGCTTCACTTTTCCCCTATCAAAAAATAAGAAAATCAATTTTCAGAACATGGCTGGGTGGGGATTGGGGAGGAAGACTGCAAAGGGAGACAGATGAGAATTCTTGACTGAGATGTGGTTGAATCTCAATGCTTTTACCTTTCTGAGACACAGAGACCCTGGCACTTCCTCTGTGTTGCTGACACTGCTTTCTGATACTTCACTGACATCTCCATCCACTCTTTTCATTGCAGGGCTGCCACAGTTTTCCAATGCAGATATGTTTGTGAGAGTCTCCTTAGGATAAAGCCTTCTTGGTGCTGCTTTTTTTGAAATACATTCCAGGGCCTGGCCAGTTACATTTTTGCCAGCCTTTTTTTCAATCAGATCTGACCTGAGGTATTAATAGGCATTAAATGAATGAACTGTTTATTGTGAAATATATTTTTATATAACTAATGGACAATGTGGGATGACAATGATAGCACTGGATTAGGGAATATATTGAAATACATGGAACTAAATTGTTGCAAGTTAAAATTTATATATATGATCATTTATAAATTCTCTTGACAGACAATCTTTCAGTAAAGCAACTCATTGTGCATAGAATATCTTGTGATATGGTAACAGGAGCAAGTTAGGGGAAAAGTCAAGTAAATTACTATACATCTATATGATAAAATTGTGTACAGTCATTAAGAATCATGTTTTCGGCCGGGCACGGTGGCTCACGCCTGTAATCCCAACACTTTGGGAGGTCAAGGGGGGTGGATCACGAGGTCAGGAGTCCAAGACCAGCAGGGCCAAGATGGTGAAACCTCGTCTCTACTAAAAATACAAAAAAATTAGCCGGGCGTGGTGGCAGGCACCTGTAATCCCAGCTACTCTGGAGGCTGAGGCAGAAAACTGCTTGAACCCAGGAGGCGGAGGTTGCAATGAGCTGAGATGGCGCCACTGCACTCCAGCCCGGGTGACAAAGCGAGACTCTGACTCAAAAAAAAAAAAAAAAAAAGAATTATGTTTTCAAGTCATTATCAGTGATATTGAAACACACCCACAATACCAAAACCGCATATGCTCTATGATCCTAATCTTGTTTTAAAATACAAGGATAGGCCGGGTGCAGTGGCTCACATCTGTAATCCTAGCACTCTGGGAGGCCGAGGCAGGTAGACTGCTTGAGCCCAGGAGTTAAGAGACCAGCCTGGGCAACATGGTAAAACCCGATCTCTACAAAAAACACAAAAATTAGCTGGGTGTGGTGGCAGGTGCCTGTAGTCCTGGTTACTCAGGAGGCTGAGGTGGAATGCTTCAGCCTGGGAGGTTGAGACTATGATGAGCTATGACTGTGCTACTGCACTCCAGCCTGGGTGACAGAGTGAGACCCTGTCTCAAAAAATTTTTTTAAAAAATTTGAAAATACAAGTATACACAAAATTAAGTCTGAAAGAAAATGCAGTGAGCCAGAATGTTACAGTGGCTATCTCTGGGTGATGCAATTATGAGTAAGTTTTATTTTCTTCTTTGTACTTTTCTCTATTTTCCAAATTTCCTGAAATAACTTTTACAATAAAGCATCATTCTTCCCCCAAAAGAAAAGAAATTAAGAAAGAAAAAAAAGCCAGGCGCAGTGGCTCATGCTTGTAATCCCAGCGCTTTGGGAGGCTGAGGCGGGCAGATCACAAGGTCAGGAGTTCGAGACCAGCCTGACCAACATAGTGAAACCCCGTCTCTACTAAAAACACAAAAATTAGCCAGGCGTGTTAGTGCACACATGTCATCCCAGCGACTAGGGAGGCTGAGGCAGGAGAATTGCTTGAACCCAGGGGGTGGAGGTTTTAGTGAGCTGAGATCATGCCACTGCACTCCAGCCTGGGCAACAGAGTGAGATTCTGTCTCAAAAAAACAAAAAAAAAACAACAAAAAAAAAAAAAAAAAAGAAAGCAAGAAAGCAATGGCTATCCCTATATCTGAGCAAAAGTTCTAGGAAGTGAATATAGACTTTCCTGTGAAAACACTATATTACCCCTAAAAAAAAACAAAAAAAAAAACTAAAGGCCCGATGTGGTGACTCACACCTGTAATCCCAGCACTTTGGGAGGCTGAGGCAGGTGGATGGCTTCAGCCCAGAAGTTTGAGACCAGCCTGGGCAACATGGTGAAACCCTGTCTCTACAAAAAAAAATACAAAAAATTAGCTGGGTGTGGTGGCACATGCCTATAGTCCCAGCTACTTGGGAGGCTGAGGTGGGAGGACCACTTGAGCCAGGGAAATGGAGGCTGCAGTGACTTGAGATTGCGCCAGAGCACTCAAGCCTGGGCAATGGGAGTGAGACCTTGTCTAAAACAATAACAACAACAACAACAACAACAAAAACTAAAAATTGGAATTGAGTTCTGGGAAACAACACAGATAAACCAGACAGTCTTGTTCAATTCTGGTCAGAACAGAAAAAGCAAATATCTGACACGAGATTGGTGATGTTTCTATGCTACAGGTAAGTTTCACTACAGCTCTTCTGTATTCAGTCAAAATTTGTTAACTAATATTTCACTCCTCAATTGTTTCCTAAGTGAATGCAAGTGAATTATTTCAAAATAAGATTATGATGGCTTGTCCCAAGTAATAAAGAAGTTAAAACACAGTCTTACCTTTTTCGTTTCTGTGAAAGACACAGTGACTGTGGTGAAGATGCTCTACTTTGTTCATCAGCTAATGTGGCCAAAATAAAGTTAGCTTCCACTAACATATCATCAATACTCAAAGCCAGAGGTCTAAAAAAGCCAAGTCAGAGCAACAGTGACACTCATTTTCTGATGGACATTAGAAACACATTAGAAATGATACTTAATTCTGGACTAAAAAGAAACAGGGGAGGCCAAGGCGGGTGGATCATCTGAGGTTGCGAGTTTGAGACCAGCCTGACCAACATGAAGAAACCCCGTCTCTACTAAAAATACAAAAAAAAAATTAGCCGGGCATGATGGTGCATGCCTGTAATCCCAGCTACTCAAGAGGCTAAGGCAGAAGAATCACTTGAACCTGGGAGGCGGAGGTTGCAGTGAGCTGAGATTGCACCATTGCACTCCAGCCTGGGCAACAAAAGCAAAACTCCATCTCAACAACAACAACAACAACAACAACAACAACAACAACAAACAGTAGGCCGGGTGCTATGGCTCACGCCTGTAATCCCAGCACTTTGGGAGGCCGAGGCTGGTGGATCTCTTGAAATCAGGAGTTCAAGGCCAGCCTGGCCAACATGGTGAAACCCCGTCTCTACCAAAAATACAAAAATTAGCCAGGCATGGTGGTAGACGCCCGTAATCCCAGCTACTTGGGAGGCTGAGGCAGTAGAATTGCTTGAACCCGGGAGGCAGAGCCTGCAGTAAGCCGAGATCATGCCACTGCACTCCAGCCTGGGCGACAGAGTGAGACTCCGTCTGAAAAAAGAAAAAAGAAAATTTTAAATGCCATGTTTTAGCATCTTTCAAAATTTTAGTTTGATAAGTATTAATAGTAAAGTTTAGGTATTCCTGAGGTGTTAATTAATTTCAAAGTGATCCAAAAGGTTTTGTTATTGATATAAAACAAAAGAAACAAGCTCAGAAAAATTCTCAAGGACCTACTTCCCAGGGAAATCAAAATAAATGGATATAGGAGCATGTGTAGCTTCTGAAAATGTCAGTATTCCCTGAAAAAAGAAAAGAAGAAAAAAACTTAAAATCCTTATAAAAACTTACAGTGAAAATTTGAATTTTAAATTGATACAAATCTTTATTTACCTTCAATTCTTTGAAACAAAATGTTATCTCAGTGTCCATTCCAATTTGAAAGAAGTCAAACTCATCTGAGCCAACAAACATCTCACTGTGTACAGCATTGCTCAAATCTGTTTAATATTATGGGAAAATAAAGAATAAAATTAGTTCCAGAGATGAATTTAGAGGAAAAAAGAATTTTTCTGGTCTCCCAAATCCCATCCCATTTCCTCCTGCCCTACGTACCCTAACTTCCCCACCTGATATCTGCATGCTATTTTTAAATGCCTTTGTTCAAAAGAGAAATTTAATATTTTACATTTCTCTTAAACTACCCAATGATTCAGGGTCTATAAGTCCATTTCACATAAATTAAACTGTTTATGTTTAAATACCAGATTTCTTATCTAAGTTAATTAATAAATTTTTTGTTTTCTTCTTTTTGAGAGAGGGTCTTACTGTGTTGCCCAGGCTGGAGTGCAGTGGCATGATCACAGCTCACTGCAGCCTTGACCTCCTGGGCTCAAGTGATCCTCTGCCTCAGTCTTCTGAATAGCCGGGACTACAGGCATCTGCCACTTACATGCACATTTTTAACTTTTTTTTTTTTTCTTTTGAGACGGAGTCTCACTCTGTTGCCCAGGCTGGAGTGCAGTGGCACAATCTCGGCTCACTGCAAGCTGTGCCTCCCGGGTTCACGCCATTCTCTTGCCTCAGCCTCCCGAGTTGCTGGGACTACAGGCGCCCACCACCACACTCGGCTAATTTTTTGTATTTCTTTTAGTAGAGATGGGGTTTCACTGTGTTAGCCAGGATGGTCTCGATCTCCTGACCTCGTGATCCACCCGCCTCAGCCTCCCAAAGTACTGGGATTACAGGCGTGAGCCACTGCGCCTGGCCATATTTTTAAATGAAAGTACAATCTTACCCTACATACCATTTCATAATCTACCCAATAATATATCAATATATCTTGGCTATTTTTCCATGTCAATAAGCACATTTTTATAATTATTTGTGTGTGTGTGTGTGTGTGTGTGTGTGTGTGTGTGTGTCAATGTTTTGTGTTTTCCACTACAAAATTGCTTCATTAAACCTCTCTGATACATACCCTCAGAGAGAGAGGAATGTATTTATACATACACATATAACATTACTTTAATGTTTTTATTATTTTTTTTTTGAGATGGAGTCTCATTCTGTTGCCCAAGCTGGAGTCCAGTGGTGTGATCTCGACTCAGTGCAAGGTCCACCTGCCAGATTCTAGCGATTCTCCTGCCTCAGCCCCCTGAGTAACTGGGACTATAGGCACACACCACCACGTCCAGCTAATTTTGTATTTTTAGTAGAGAAAGGGTTTCACCATGTTGGCCAGGCTGGTCTCAAACCCCTGACCTCAGGTGATCAGCCCTCCTCGGCCTCCCAAAGTTCTGGGATTACAGGCATGAGCCACCACGCCCGGCCCATTAATTTTTTTTGAGACTGGGTCTCACTCTGTTGCCCAGGCTGTAATACAGTGGCATGATCATAGCTCACCTGCAACCTTGAAATCTTGAGCTCAAGTGATCCCCTTGCCTCAGCTGCTGCAGCATAGACTACAGGTGCATGCCACCATACCTGGCTAATTTTTTATTTTTGTAGAGATGGGATCTTGCTGTGTTGGCCAGGCTGGTCTGAACTCCTGGCCTCAAGCAATCCTGCCTCAGCCTCCCAAAGCACTAGGATTACAGGGGTGAGCCATTGTACCTGGCCAATGTTACTTTTAATAGTTTCATAGTATTTCATTATCTTCACTCAATCTCCTGTTGTGAGATCTAAAGTATAGAAGGAGATATACCCAACTATTAAAAGTGCTTATCTCTGTATAGTGGGATATCAGGTGACTTAAAAAATTTTTTTTGTATTTTTAATTTTCTTCAATGAATATCAATTATATAAGTAGTAAGAACAAAGATTGAGTGATATATATATACATATTTATTATTATTATTATTTTAGACAGAGTCTTGCTCTGTCGCCAGGCTGGAGTGCCGTGGCGTGATCTTGGCTCACTGCAACCACCGCCTCCCAGGTTCAAGTGATTAATCCCCTGTCTCAGCCTCCCAAGTAGCTGGGACTATAGGTGCACACCACCACGCCCCACTAATTTTTTGTATTTTAATAGAGACGGGGTTTCACCATGTTGGCCAGGATGGTCTCGATCTTCTGACCTCATGATCCGCCTGCCTCAGCCTCCCAAAGTGCTGGGATTACAGGCGTGAGCCACCGCACCCGGCCAAATGATATATTTTTTAAAGGATCAAACAATGTCTTAAATATACATTCATCTCCAACAAGAAGGCTCATGTCACTCCTAATATACTAGCATAGAAGAAGTTTAATAATAAGATTAAACAACTAGATTGCCAGTCAACTATAACTTCATTAGAAAGCTACTCACAAGGGACAGTTTCTCCTGGCTACTAAATGGCCATCTTTATTCAGAGATGGCATGATGGTACATAAAACAGACCCTTTCACTAGGCAATTTGTGACACCAGGCAAGCCACAGTTTCTCTGTGCTTCAATTTTTTTTTTTTTGAGACAAGATCTTGCTGTCTTGCCTGGGCTGGAGTGCAGTGGCACAATCATGGCTCACTGCAGTCTCAAACTTACGGGCTCAAGCAATCCTTCCACCTTAGCCTACCAAGTAGCTGACACTACAGGTGTGCACCACCATGCCTGGCTATTTTTCTTATGTTTTGTAAAGATGAGGTGTCACTATGTTGCCAAGGCTGGTAACTCCCCTCAAGTGATCCTTCTGCCTCAGCCTCCCAAAGTGTCCAACTGCTTCATATGTGCTTTATATGTGCTTTCAATTTCTTCATATGTAAAATGGGGATAATAATAGTACCTACATACATCTTAGAGTTGTTATGAAGATCAAATGACTTCATAAATGCAAACTATTTAGAACAGAACCTGGCACAAACACTACAAAAGTCATGTGACCCAACTTAAGCCCTGGTTTTTCACTTTAAAATAATAGTTCTTTCCTTTGTATCCTCTCCTTACTGCTGTCACCAAAAACATATTATCTAAGGTCAAAGAGTCTCAAACAGCTTGTTGTGCCAAAAGACCGTAGCAAATTTTCTTTTTTCTTTTATTTGAGACAGAGTCTCTGTCGCCCAGGCAATGGAGTGCAATGGTGCAATCTTGGCTCATTGCAACCTCCACCTCCCGGGTTCAAGCGATTCTCCTGCCTCAGCCTCCTGAGTAGCTGGGATTACAGGCCTGAGCCACCACACCCAGCTAATTTTTTTATTTTTAGTAGAGATGGGTTTTCGCCATGTTGGCCAGGCTGGTCTCGAACTCCCGACCTCAGGTAATCCACCTGCCTCAGCCTCCCAAAATGCTGGGATTACAGGCGTGAGCCACAGCACCTGGCCCCATTCTCCTAGTTTTAAAACACCCTGAATTTCAAAGCCAAATATTTTAATTGCTGATTGTGTTAAACTTGTTGGATCTCTTAAAGCTTTTTCCAACCTTTCTACATCTTACTGCTTTTTAGACAGGAATAAAATTATGTCACTAATATTTGCAGTATGGTTAGTAATCGAGAGACAGGAAGTAATAACCCATCAAAACACCATTTCAGATACAATCTTTACCCATTGATTCCTCATTAGAACTCTTGAGGCAAAAATTCAGTGGAGTAACAGCAAGAGTAACTTCCTCTTGACTTGATGTAAAAAGAACAATGGCATCAGCAAGCAATCTATAAAATGTAAAGAACAGTATTAACATTATTTGAAAAACAAACAGAAAGACATACCTTATTAACTGGGACTCAAATCTCTAATCTGGAAATAAATAATTACTTGGCCTGGGTTTAGAAAAATTTACCCAAACTCCTACCTTCTTTCTTATACATAGCTGCTATATTTTCAGCATATTTTAAAATTATAACTTCATTTGAAGGCCAAGAGAATAGCAAAATATATCCTTAGTAAAACACATGAACGCTGCAGTACAAACAAAATTCCAGAATAAAATATCTTTAATTATATGTTTTTGTATGCCCAGTTACTTATGCCCTAGATCATACTGTAAAGGGAGATACTGGAAAGTGAAGCTGTTCAAAAACAACTCAGGTGAATTATGCTGGAGACCTAGATGTGGGGGCAGAGGTTTCTAAGCAGCCTGCTGCCTATATTCTTTCCCTTTGCTCCTTTCCTCGACTGTTACCTGTTGCTTTCAAGGTTCTCTTGACATCCCAAATGCCCTTTTATTCTGGCTCCTTTTTTCAAAAACAGTTTTATTGAGATATAATTCCCATATGACATAATTCACAGATTGAAAATTGTTTGATTTGCATTTCCCTAATGACTAATGATGTTGGGCATCTTTTCAGGTGCTTACTGATATTTTCTTTGAAGAAATGACTATTAAAATCCTTTACTTATTTTTTACAGCTGGGCTGTCTTTTTATTATTGTATTATAAATTCTGCACTCCTTTTGACATTGAGATATTATTAAGATAAAATAAAATTCTTAGAATTTATGTAATCTTGTTGTTAATCTGATGTTAGACATTGGTTTAACGGTGTTTCTTGCTATCAAAATGTCAGGAACACCTACAAAATTCATTTGGGAACTTTTCCAGTGTTAAGCGGGGGCAGTTATACAAGATACCAAATAATTTGATACAAAAAAAATGACAACATGAATGGGCAATTCAAAAAGGAAGGGAGGAAGGAAGGAAGCAAGGAAGGAAGGAAGGAAGGAAGGAAGGAAGGGACCAGATGTGGTAGCTCACGCCTGTAATCCCAGTACTTTGGGAGGCTAAGGCAGATGGATCACTTGAACTCAGAAGTTTGTCTCAATCAGCCTGAGCAACATGGCGAAACCCCGTCTCTATAAAAAAATACAAAAATTAGCCAGGCATGGTGGCTTGCACTAGTAGTCCCAGCTACTCGGGAAGCTGAGGCACAAGAATTGTTTGAACCCAGGAGGTGGAGGTTACAGTGAGCCAAGATCACATCACTGCACTCCAGCCTGAGCAACAGAGGGAGACTCTGTCTCAAAAATAATAATAATAATAATAATAATAATAATAATAATAATAATAATATAAAAACAATATGGATAAAATATCATTTGGCTCACAAAGTAATGTTCATTAATGTTTAATGCTACAGCTGAACTGAAAACTGGATGCACTTTCAAATAACAGGTTTCAAGTTTCAAATTTCAAGACATATATGCCTTACTCATTATCTAGAGGAAAAAACTGTTAATACTTAGGGCCAAAATCATTTCACATAAAAAATGTTAAAATTTCCTCAAGCTCTGTGTTTTAAGATTCAGACAAGAACCATATAAATGCAACTTGATATAGAAAGCCACTGATGGGGTGTTTTTAGAACTTTCTTGGGTCACTAAATTATTATAGCTAC
Organism: Homo sapiens; assembly: GCF_000001405.40. Taxonomy (NCBI): domain Eukaryota; kingdom Metazoa; phylum Chordata; class Mammalia; order Primates; family Hominidae; genus Homo; species Homo sapiens. The sequence continues at coordinate 110,513,367 of NC_000012.12, read as the reverse complement.
CATTAGTTATTATCCACTATTATCTTTAACAAAGTTTCCTCTTGTCCCTGTATGGTGATTTCTCCAAGTCAAATTTCAGCTTAAAAAAAAAAAATGTAATGGCAGGGCGTGGTGGCTCACGCCTGTAATACCAGCACTTTAGGGGGCCAAGGCAGGTGGATCACGAGGTCAGGAGATCAAGACCATCCTGGCTAACACGGTAAAACCCCCCGTCTCTATTAAAAATACAAAAAAATTAGCCAGGAGTGGCGGTGGGCGCCTGTAGTCCCAGCTACTCGGGAGGCTGAGGCAGGAGACTGGTGTCAACCCAGGAGGCGGAGCTGGCAATGAGCCAAGATCGCGCCACTGCACTCCAGCCTGGGCGACACAGCGAGACTCCATATAAAAAAAAAAAAAATGTGCCGACTGAAAAGCTCTAGGGCATTGATTCTTCACTCCATGATCATACTGTATTCAGGTGAAAAAAACTGACAACAGAGAACTCATTACCTTGGTTGAATCATTAGCGTATTAGTACAAACATTCTTGTCAAAAATAACTTGCAAAGGCTGACTTTCTTGAAAACATATATTATGAGTTCTTTTAATACCTTAAAAAGAATAAAGCCACCTCTTAATAATTTTAAGTACAAAACTAACAAATTAAAGAAGTCTTTAAGTTTCACAGCCAAATTAAAGTAATAAAGTAACATTTACTATCTGGCAAGTGCATATACCTTGGAGAAGCACTATTCCTTAATTAAATGTGTTTATCGCTCCCTAGTGGACACCAAGCAATATGTCATACCTTCTGACCAATCAGGCAGGAGAGTTCCCAGACTCCTTTGAAATACAAGCAGTTTCCTTCTTCTTCTTGTTCTTCTTTTGTTAATATATTTTTATTGATACATGGTATTTTAAAATATTTATGGGGTACATGTGGCCAGGCACGGTGGTTCATGCCTGTAATCCCAGCACTTTGGGAGGCCAAGGCAGGTGGATCGCTTGAGGCCAGGAGTTCAAAACCAGCCTGGTCAACATGGCATAACCCTGTCTCTACTAAAAATACAAAAATCAGTCGGGCATGGTGGTGCATGCCTGTAATCCCAGCTACCTGGGAGGCTGAGGCACAAGAATCACTTGAACCTGGGAAGCAGAGGTTGCCATGAGCCAAGATTGTGCCACTGTACACTCCAGCCTGGGTGACAGAGTGAGACTCTGTCTCAAAAAGAAAAAAAAAAAAAAGGCCAGGCACGGTGGCTCACGCATGTAATCCCAGCACTTTGGGAGGCTGAGGCGGGCGGATCATGAGGTCAGGAGATAGACACAATCCTGGCCAACATGGTGAAACTCCGTCTCTACTAAAATATAAAAAACTAGCCGGGCGTGGTGGCATGCGCCTGTAATCCCAGCTACTTGGGAGGCTGAGGCAGGAGAATCACTTGAACCCAGGAGGTGGAGGTTGCAGTGAGCCGAGATCGTGCCACTGCACTCCAGCCTGACAACAGAGCGAGACTCTGTCTCAAAAAAAAAAGAAAAAATGTATGGGGTACATGTGACAGATATTTTGTTACATGCACAGACTGTGTAATTATCAAGCCAGGATATTTGGGGTGTCCATCACCTCAAGTATTTATCATTTCTATGTGTTAAGAACATTTTAAGTCCTCTCTTTTAGCTACGTTGAAACACAGAATACACCGCTGCTAACTTATAGTCACCCTACTCTGCTACCCCACATTAGAACTTATTCCTTCTACCTAACTGTATGTTTGTACCTACTGACCAACCTCTCTTCATACTCACCCACACACCATTACCAGCCTCTGGTATCTACCATTCTACTCTCTACCTCCATGAGATCAACTTTTTAGCGTCCACATTGTGAGAACATGCAATACTTGACTTTCCATGCCTGGCTTATTTCACTTAACATAGTGACCTCTAGTTCCATCCACGTTGCTGCAAATGACAAGATTTCATTATTTTTATGGCCAAATAGTATTCCATTGTGTATATATACTACATTTTCTTTATCCATTAGTCCACTAATAGACACTTAGCTTGATTCCGTAACTTTGCTATTATAAATGGTGCTGCAATAAACACAGGGATGTAGGTATTTCTTTGATATATTTTTTTTTCCTTTGGATAAAGACTCAGTAGTGGGATTGCTGGATCATGTGGTACTTCTATTTTTAGTTTTTTAAGAAATCTCCAAAATACAGGTAGTTTCTTAAATTGCGTGTAAAATAGTGATTGCAGACTACAGATCATATCTCTATTACTCTCTTTCAGTACCCTCCATCCAGGACTGATATTTCTAAACAGGACTTTTGACAGATTTCAACATCTGGTTTGTTAATTCTTTTCTTTTCTTTTCTCTCCTCTTCTCTCTTCCTTCCCTCCTTCTTCCTTTCTCTCTTTCTTTTTTTTTTGACAGGGTCTCAACCTGTTGCCAAGGCTAGACTGTTGTGGTGTGATCTCAACTCACTGCAACCTCCAACTCCTGGGCTCAAGTGATCCTCCCATCTCAACCTCCCCAGTAGCTGGGACTAGAGGCGCACTCTACCACACCTGGCTAATTTTTGTATTTTTGGTAGAGACAAGGTTTCTCCATGTTGCCGAGGCTGAATTATTGTCCTTTTAGAGGAAGAGGAGAGGTAGCAATAATGAGTATGAACCTATGTGCCAGGAACTGTAGCATACATATTACATACATTCTCTCTGATCCTCACAATATCCCTGTGGGGTAGCTAGGATGGCCTCACTTTCATGTCTGGGGCCTCAACTGGGACAACTGAGATGGCTAAGGCCTCTCACCTATTCTTTAATCCTCCAGAAAGCTATTCCATGCTTGTTCTCATGCTGGTGGAAAGGTTCTTAGGGCAACAGTGGAAGCTGACAGGACTCAGCTCGGAACTCACACAATAACACTTATGGTGCATTCTACCGGTATCAAAGCAAATCTAAGGCCGGGTGAAATTCAAAATGAGGAAACATCTCCAGGTATTGAAGGGAGGGGCTGCAGATAATTGGTGACAATTTTTTTTGTGATCTACCACATAAGGGACTATTTTAGGAGCTGGAACTAGCAGAGAACAAATCAGACAAAAATCTGTCTTCACAGGGCTAACATTTTACAGAGGGGAGATAGATAGCAAGAAAATAAATGAATAAAACAGTAGGCAAGGGAGCAGGGCATACACCCTGAGGAGGAAACATGCCAGGGCTTCTGAATCATGGAGGACCTTATAGGCCATTCTGAGATCTTTGGCTTTTACCCTGGGTAAAATGGGGAGCTACTGGGAGAGTTTTGAGCACCGAAGTGACATAATATGACCTATTTTAAAGGGATCACTGTGACTGCTGTTTTGAGAAGACACAAAGCTCAAAAGATGACATATTTTACGTATTTAAAAAATATTTTCAAGTTACTTTTGGTGGAATAGGTAATAGATGCACATGGGACAAAATGCAAAAGATATAAAAGAACAGTGAGAGTGAGTCACCCTCCATCCCTGACTCCTGCCACCCTAGAACCTACACAGAAGCAACTACTGCTACCAGTTTCTTAGGTGTTCTTTAGAAATAACCTATACATATATAAGTGTGTTTATACCTGTATAACAAATATTTGAATCAAGTGAATATTGGTATTGCTGAGGATGTGCAAGCTGAGAAGTGTCTTTTCTTTGTCATCCCCAATGCTCTATTCTTGCTACTTGTTTTCTTCCTTTTTTCTTATAAGCACACACTAGACACCCTCAACCGGTATTTTTTCACACTTCTCCTTCATCTTAGACTGCCATCCCAGGCTGGGCATGGTGGCTCACACCTGTAATTCCAGCACATTAGGAGGCTGAGGCAAGAGGACTGCCTGGCTCAGGAGTTTGAGACCAGCTTCCAAAACACAGTGAGACCTTGTTATCTATTAAAATTTTTTTAAAAATTAGCCAGGTGTGAAAAAAAAATTAGCCAGGTGTGGTGGGCGTGGTTGCTCATTCCTATAATCCCAGCACTTGGGAGGCTGAGGCAAGCAGATCACTTGAGCCCAAGAGTTCAAGACCAGCCTGGGCAACATGGTGAAACCCCATCTCTACAAACAATATAAAAAATTAGGGCCGGGCATGGTGGCTTATGCCTGTAATTCCAGCACTTTGGAAGGCCAAGGAGGGCAGATCACGAGGTCAGGAGATCGAGATCATCCTGGCTAAGACGTTGAAACCCCGTCTCTACTAAAAATACAAAAAAAAAGTTAGCCGGGCATGGTGGCAGGCGCCTGTAGTCCCAACTACTCGAGAGGCTGAGGCAGGAGAATGGCGTGAACCCAGGAGGCGGAGCTTGCAGTGAGCTGAGATCGCACCACTGCACTCCAGCCTGGGCGACAGAACCAGACTCCGTCTTAAAAAAATTAAAATAAAAAAATTAGCCAGGTATGGTGGCACGCTCCTGTGATCCCAGCTACTCTGGAGGCTGAGGTAGGAGGATCACCTGAGTCTGGGAAGTCAAGGCTGCAGTGAGCCAAGATCACGCCACTGCACTCCATCCTGCTCCATCCTGGGTGACAGAGTGAGACTTTGTTTCAAAAAAAAGAAAAGAAAAGAAAAGAAGCTGCACCCTGGATCAAACCATGGCGGTGGCTCATGCCTGTAATCCCAGCACTCTGGGAGGCCAAGGCAGGAGAATTGCTTGAGCCCAGGAGTTTGAGACCAGCCTGGGCAACATGACGAGACCCTGACTCTACAAAAATTAAGAACAAAAACAAAAACAACCATGCCTGTGACTTAATTTTGAATTTTTTGTTTACATGAGCCAATACTTTATTTTTTAAGCTAGTTTGAGTTGGACCGTCTGTTTTTATTTGTTACTTGTAACCTAAGGCATAGTATCATATAACTACCCTATAAAAACCATTAAATAATTAACCAATCACAAATACTTACTGGACATGACTCAAGTAAGCTACTTGAGAGATACTGAATACCAAGTATTCACTTTCTGTCTAAAATCTAGTTGGAGATAAGGAAAGAGGATAATTATAGTAACAGCAATCACTAACAAGTACTCCCCCTGGGGCAGGTACTGCGGTATGTACTTTACATATGTGATCTCACTTCATCCTCACAATCACCCCGTAACTTGTGGGTAGGCATGATCATCTCCACTTCACAGTAAGGAATGAAGATTCAGAGAGCTTATGCACTGTCCCAAAACTAATAAGTGGAGAAGAATTTACACGCACATCTTTGTGATGTCAAGGCTTGCTATGCTTTTAATCATGCTCTTTGAATCATTCTGCTATTAAATGAACTGAAGTTCAAAGAAGGAAAAAATAATGTTAAATTATTAGTATTTTATAGGAAACAATTTAAAGACTATAAATATATGCTGAAATAAAAATATATTATAATAAATGTAAGATTAAATTAAGAAATACAGCCAGGCGCGGTAGTTCACACCTGCAATCCCAGCACTTTGGGAGGTCAAGGCCGGCAGATCATCTGAGGTCAGGAGTTTCAGACCTGCCTGACCAACATGGTAAAACCCCATCTCTACTAAAAATACAAAATTAGCCGGGCATGGTGAAGCATGCCTGTAATCCTAGCTACTCAGCAGGCTGAGGCAGGAGAATTGCTTGAACCCAGGAGGTAGAGGTTGCAGTGAGCCAAGATCATGCCATTGCACTCCAGCCTGGGCAACAAGAGCGAAACTCCATCTCAAAATGAATATATATATGTATATATGTTATACATTATGTATATAATATTATGTATATATGTATACATAATATGTATTATGTATATATTATACATATATAATACATATATATTTAATACATATATTATGTATTATATTTAATACATATATTATGTATTATATTTAATACATATATTATGTATTATATTTAATACATATATATTATACTTAATACGTGTTATATATTATATTTAATACATATATATTATATATTATATTTAATACATATATTATATATTATATATAATACATATATTATATATAATACATATTATATATATAATATACATATATATAATCAAGCAGCTAGTAAATTTTAGAACAACCAATTGCTTGAATTCATACGGATATTTGAAAAAAATTAGGCTGTATGCAGGCAAAGCTTGTGCCACTGACAAGTCAAAAAAAGAAATAATACCGATCATCTTACAATACTTCTACAGTGACAGGTAAGATAATACTTCAGGCCAGGTGCAGTGGCTCATGCCTGGCTCAGGCCAGGTGCAGTGGCTCATCCCAGCACTTTGGGAGGCCGAGGCAGGTGGGCAGATCACCTGAGGTCAGGAGTTCGAGATCAGCCTGGCCAACACGGTGAAACCCCGTCTCTACTAAAAATACAAAAATTAGCTGGGCATGATGGCAGGTGCCTGTAATCCCAGCTACTTGGGAGGCTGAGGCGGGAGAACTGCTTGAACCCACGAGGTGGAGGTCGCAGTGAGCTGAGATGGCGGCATTGCACTCCAGCCTTGGCGACAGAGCAAGACTCCATCTCAAAAAAAAAAAAAAGGATAATACTTCAAACTGCCCTACCACTTAACTACACACACTCTAAGCAATAATGTAACGAGAAATCTTGACATGAAATATCAATGTTCTAAACATGAAAACTATTGAGAAAAAAACATAGTATTTTAAACCACTTTTAATTATACCTACCATGTCTGTAGAAGAATTGAATAACTACTTTGCATTTATCAGATCTGGTGAATATTCTGCACTTCTCTATATTTCTTTCAAGGGAATTCAGACATCTAAAGATGGGCAAAATTGACTGTAACAGAAATATACATATTAAGCACATACTTAACATGGTTGATTCATTTTAGAAACAAAAGTATATGCATTCATAAATGAACAGACTTGGCCAGGCGCGGTGGCTCACGCCTGTAATCCCAGCACTTTGGGAGGCCGAGGCGGGCGGATCACGAGGTCAGGAGATCGAGACCATCCTGGCTAACACAGTGAAACCCCGTCTCTACTAAAAATAGAAAAAATTAGCCAGGCGTAGTGGCGGGCGCCTGTAGTCCCAGCTACTCGGGAGGCTGAGGCAGGAGAATGGCGTGAACCCGGGAGGCAGAGCTTGCAGTGAGCCGAGATTGTGCCACCGCACTCCAGCCTGGGCGACAAAGCGAGACTCCGTCTCAAAAAAAAAATGAACAGACTTGGCCAGGTGCACTGGCTCACGCCTGTAATCCCAGCACTTTGGGAGGCCGAGGTGGGCAGATCACTTGAGGTCAGGAGTTCAAGACCAGCCTGGCCAACATGGCGAAACCCTCATCTCTATTAAAAACACAAAAATTAGCCAGGCATGGTGGCACACGCCTATAATCCCAGCTACTTGGGAGGCTGAGGCACAAAAATCACTTGAAACTGGGAGGCAGAGGTTGCAGTGAGCCAAGATTGCACCACTGCACTCCAGCCTGGGTAAGAAAGCGAGACTCTGTCTCAAAAATAATAATAATAATGAACAGATTTGTCCTGAATGCCATTTAAACTATTAAGTATAGAATACAGGTTATGTCCTATATAATGAATATTTCTACAGAATAAGAGAAAACCAGGGCCACTTATATTTACCTTCATTCCCAATTTGCATTTTAAATGCAGTGTTGTGTCAAGTTCATTTTCACTCATTTTCACTAAAGCTGACCATTGATAATGCTGAAAAAACACAGGAGAGAACAGGACACATCCATATGCTGACCGAGAAGAATTCACACATCTTAGAGCAAGCTAGAAAAATAAGATAAAAACTATTTAGGAGAGGTTGCGCATGGTGGCTCCCATGAACCTGTAATCCAAGCACTTTGGGAAGCCAAGGCAGGAGGATGGATGGAAGCCAGGAGTCTGAGACCAGCCTGGCCAACAGAGCAAGACCCCACCTCTATTTTTTTATTTTAAAAAAATTTAGGAGAAAATAAACTTTCTTTACATAATAGCTTGATTCAGAAAACGTCATTATGTTTAACATCACAGTTAAATGTGTTCAAATAAGAACATGGGATGTTAATTATGGACTGCCCTATATAGTCTGTATTGAATTTGCATATATATACATATATGTACACCTATAATATATACAGGACATAACCTGTATTCTATACTTGATAGTTTAAATGGCATTCAGGACAAGTCTGTTAATTTATTATACACCTATATATATACATACATATAGGTGTACATACATGTATATATACAAGCATGTACGTATATATAGGTGTATACATATATGTATATTATATTGAATACATATATGTGTTAAATCTAAAAGTTTACATGTTGAAAACATAAAATAGTAAATGCCTACAGGGGCCTTAACTTTCTTTTAATTTCTTTTTTACTTTTTTTCAAAAAACCAGCCTGTTGGCCAGGCTGGAGTGCAATGGTACCACCGCAGCTCACTGCAGCCTCCAAACCCCTGGCCTCAACCAATCCTCCCTCCTCTCAGCCTTCCAAGTAGCTGGGACTACAGGCACACAACATATCACCCGACTAATTTTTAAAATTTTTTTGTAGAGACAGGTAGTGTCTTGCTTTGTTGCTCAGGCTGGTCTCGAACTCCTGGGCTCAAGTGATCCTCCTGTCTCAGCCTCCCAAAGTGCTGGGATTACATTTGTGAACTACCACACCCAGTCATGAGCCTTAACCTTAATGTGTGAAATGGCAAAAGGCAATATATAAGGGAGTTGCAATATATAAGGGAGTTACAGCATATTGGCGGTCTCACACCTTGTCTAAGCGGGGAAACCATTACTCAGTTTCAGCCAACTACTTCCACTTGGGAATGAATGCAGTCCCAAAACTGTCAGGTCTTCTGAATTTTCAAGAGAAGCAGGAAAAATTTGACTCAATTTTTTTTTTTTTTTTTTTTGGGACGGAGTCTCACTCTCACTCTGTTGCCCAGGCTGGAGTGCAGTGGCACCATGTCGGCTCACTCACTGCAACCTCCATCTGCTGGATTCAAGCAATTCTCCCACCTCAGCCTCCCGAGTAGCTGGGATTACAGGTGCCCACCACCATGCCAGGCTAATTTTTATATTTTTAGTAGAGAAGGAGTTTCACCATGTGGACCAGGCTAGTCTCGAACTCCTGACCTCAGGTGATCCACCCACCTCGGCCTCCCAAAGTGCTGGGATTACAGGCGTGAGCCATCGCGCCCGGCCTCAATTTTTAAATGTTGGAAATTATTTCAAATTAAAAAAAAAAAAAAACAGTGCAGGCCAACAAACATTCCTGCAGACCGTAGCTAGTCTCTTAACTACCAGTTTGTGACTTCCAGTTTAAATCAATCAAGCTTATCTGCATATTTTCAACTTTACCATGCTCTAAGTGTATTCAGATATGTAAAATAAAGATAAACAGTGAAAGGGATAATTACAATTTCTGGATTTCCTAGTTAACATTCAATCTGGACTGGGATCTTTAAACATCTCCTCTTGCCTTGATACGTGATCTGTTAACTTTCTTACTTACACCTTTTTTAGATGGGTCTAGCCAGAACTCGTCACTAATTCGTGATAGAGCTTGAACTGCTTTCCCAAATACTATGGAGAAAAAGAAAGGTGATGCTTATATTCTTTCCCTCTAACAATAAAAACAAATCACAAGACTAGTTCAGCATTCAGAGGACTCAAGAGAAATTCAAAAATAACAGTATCTTACAGACTAATGCTACATTACTTTAATACAGTATAATACCCTTGGCAAAATGCCAGACACATAGTCAGGGCTCAATAAATTTGTAGTGTGTGAAATGATAAAATTGACCGAAATTTGTCCTTCTATATGTTTACAGTGTTGCATGGAGCTACTGTGCAAACCAATTTCCATACTAATGTATTTTACAACTTGATTTAGATAAATGTATTTGACCCCCCAAAAACTGTGAAAACAGTGCATGGAGAAGATAATCTGAAGTGGTTTTAATAGCTTGATAGCCAAGTCACAACAAGTCATGAGAGAGAAATTAGGGGTATCCAACATACATCTCTGATGTTTGAGGGCAGCCAGATTTCCCCACCACAGAACACATTTAGGGCTGGAAAACACACTAGTCTGATCCCGTACGACATTGTTAATGTTCTTTTTATTTTTTATTTTTTTTGAGACAGAGTCTCACTCTGACACTCAGGCTGGAGTGCAGTGGCACGAGCTCAACTCACTGCAGCCTCAACCTCCCGGGCTCAATCGATCCTCTCGCCTCAGCCTTCCAAGTAGCTTGGGATTACAGGCGCCCACCACTAAGCCCGGCTAATTTTTGTATGTTTAGTAGAGACGGGGTTTCATCATGTTGGTCAGGGTGGTCTCGAACTCCCGACCTAAGGTGATCCACCCGCCTTGGCCTCCCAAAGTGCTAGGATTACAGGCGTGAGCCACTGCACCCGGCCTAACTTCCATTTTGAAAGCGCCGTTTACAACACTAATAGTTCTTGTACATTCCATCTATTACTGGGCTCTTTACACGCATTTCCATTTCATTGCCTCCAAACAAACTCTGTGACGAAGGTGCTGTCATTACCCCTGTTTCCGTTTTAGAAACTGAGCCCCAAAGAGATTTAGTGACTTTTCCAAGTTCATACATTTTTAAAAATGGTAGAATCTGGGGAAAAAAAAAACCAGGTTAATGCTGTTCTCTTGGCACAAAAATACTTTTACTGTCCAAGCATTATTTTTTTCTCTCAACTCTTCCCCATGCAGTCCTCAGCATCCCGAGTTTGTGGCCCGATGGTACAACTCTATTTCCCGGATACCACCCATATTACATCTGCCTCTAAGTCACACGAGATGGGTCCTCATCCTCCCCTCAGAAGTTAACAGGGACTTGAGTGGGTGGGGCTGTGGCCAGGGCGTGCGTCCTCAGTCATTGCGCAAAAAGGCAAAGAGGAAAAATTAGACAATGGTAGGGACGACCTATTAACGTCTGCTTTTCTCTCTGCTAAATGGGAAGACAACAAAGGCCGCTCCACCTTTCACCTGACTGCCGCTCATCACGCACTTCAGCATGGCTGCCATCCGCCCTAAAAAGCAGGCTCGGAAGGCGCGCCTCAGCTCGACGGCCCAGGTGCCCGGATGTTGCCCGCGCTTTTCAAAGCTTCGCGATCTCGTCTCTGCACTCTACCACCCCGCCTCCACAAGTTCCCAAACGGCTTTACGGCGGAGAAGGGTCCGTGCGGGCCTCCGTACGGCAATTTCTGTCTCCCTCTGCTCTCATTGGTTGCGGTTAAGTGGGCGGGTCGCCGAGGAGCCTGAGGAAGAGGGCGGCGACGGTGGTGGTGACTGAGCGGAGCCCGGTGACAGGATGGTGAGGGCTGCAGTTGCGGCGACCAAGGCCTGGCTCTCGGGTGGGGTGCTGCGTTGTTGGGAGCCGTGGGGAGGCCGAGGGCGAGGAATTGGGAAATCCCGGAGGCCTCGGCGTCAGGGCCCAGGCGCTGGCCTGGGAAAGGCCCAGAAGAGGTCTAGGGAAGGAAGGGAGCGGCCACCTCTGGGTGCGGCTGGCCTAGGTCTCGTATCCCGGCCCCAAGGGGCCAGAGGCCATCCAAGGGGTAAAAAGGCCCCTCTAGCAGCCCGACCTGTCACGAGACACGCACGCCCGAGCCAGGGAAGGCCTTTGGTCCTATACCTCGAATGTTCCGGGGATAGGGGCACGGTCCTCCGTTTCCAGACGGTTCCTACTCGTTTCCCGCAAAAAGCACCTCCCGCTGGTTGGGGTGTAGTGGTGGAAGCTGGCCTCTCGAATGCAGAACAGGAAGTAGCGAGCAGAATTTCGTACCCGTTTAACTTTGCCATCTAGGGAAAGGGAATAAACCACCCTCCTCGCTCCTGAAATAACATCTAGCTGCCATTGAGATGAGCAGGTGTGCTCTCAGAGGGCGGGATTTGGCGCTTGCAATTGCTGGAACTGTTTCTTTCCACGGGTTGCTACGCCTCTTTAGGGTAGGATTCCTTAATGATGTGTGAACTCATTGAAACTGTTGGGAAATTTTTGTGAATATACACATTTTTCTGGGGAGAGTGCCGGTGTTGGAGACTTACCTAGTCTCCCCCAGCCACCTTCAAGCAATCACCCCTTCACCCCCAGTAGTTTGGTGCCCCTCAGACCTTCCTACATAAAAACTGGGGGCCTCTACTAGAGAGGACTCAGAGCTGTAATCATATTTTCTTTCTTTCTTTTTGAGATGGAGTCTCGCTCTGTCGCCCAGGCTGGAGTGCAATGCCGCGATCTCGGCTCACTGCAATGCCGCCCGGGTTCAAGCCTCAGCTCCTGCCTCAGCCTCCCGAGTAGCTGGGATTACAGGCGCCCGCCACCAAGCCCGTCTAAATTTTTGTATTTTTAGTAGAGACGGGGTTTCACCATGTTGGTCAGGCTGGTCTCTACCTCCCGACCTCAGATGATCCACCCGCCTCGGCCTCCCAAAGTGCTGGGGTTACAGGCGTGAGCCACCGCGCCCGGCCTGTAATCATATTTTCAAAGGTGCCTTTGACTCTTAAAAAGTCAATTGTTTGGGGCAACCCACTCGGGTCCCCTTCCACCCTGTGTAAGCTTTGTTCTTTCGCTCTTCACAATAAATCTTGCTGCTGCTCAAAAAAAAAAAAAAAATCAATTGTTTGAAATGGAGCTGTGATTATCTTCATATTTGTGTTGATGGAGGTTGGCTGTAAAGGGACGTCTACCTCTGACAGGCATTTATTGCATTCTTTTTTATTTTTACAAGGAAACCAAAGAAGCTATGCATTTTTAAGATTATTACTATTGCATGACAAACAGCCTTTTCAAGAGGGGGACTTACAGACATGGCAGCCAGAGATTTATGGTGCATGCTTCTTTAAAATCTTTAATCTCACTTTTAATTTTTGCTTCTAAACAGACTCCAATTTAAAGTAATCCGTTTACAGTAATTTCGAGACACCTATCCATGGGAGAAGACATAATTACTTGCCATGGTTTCAAAATATTAATGTTTCTCAAGTTGTTTGAGAAGTGATCCCTCTTATTTAGGGTAGTTGTACTGGAACATCATTTTTCATATGAAATAGAACTGGGAAAAATTTAGCATTAGCCAGTTCTTTCATGATTAAAAGCATTTTATTTGGCAAAGGATACAGACGTTCAACACTCAGTACAGTGTCCAGAGTCTGTGGGCAGCAAATTCAAGTGTGGGAAAGGTCCAGTTTTACCTGAATAAATGTGTTTGTTTTTATTATTTTGTCTTCACCTTTAGTTGATTTGTTCAACACTTGATAATGTATTCATGGTGCTGTGTTGCATCAGCTACAAAAAATCACCTAGCCGCAGCATAATTTTCCAGCTACTAGAATTTTGAATGTAAGATAATTAACATCCATATACTTGAATAATTAAACCCTAAGAATCCAGAAAATGTTAGCCTTTCAGCTATTACTGATGATAAATTTTCCACAGTGTCTTGTAGAAATCCAAATTCATTATTTTATAAAATCTTATAAAAATCTAAACAGAATGGAAAACAGAGATGGAAGTCGATGTACAGAACAAGATTAGGAAAAGTAGGAGAAACTGACAAGACAAATTTATTAAAAAGTGTGTGTGTCATGTTCAAAAATAAAGCAAATATTTATTTTGGTATTGTTTTGAGCACAGCTGATTTTTAACATTTTCTTTCATAACACTCAGAAATCATTAACAATTGTTTGCTCATTTGGTATGGGTTTTTTGTTCTCTTTTTTTTTTTTGGTTTCTTTTTGTTGCTTTCTTTTAACATTGGTCATGTTTCACCCTTTTTTTTTCATCCCCCCTGTCTGCAATCAACTTCTTCATTCCACTAAGGCTGGGCACAGAGTAAGTTTCTTCACTTAGCTCCTACTAACAGTGGTGGTTGGGTGGCTGTTTACTGACTGGATTTCTTACCCTTTTAAGGTCTGTTGAAAGGAAGTAACCGAATTCCCATGCTTTGATTGGGTTGGCTCTTTATTTTAATTTAATAAGACTGCCATTTCCAGGATCTTTTGCTTTCTTAAAGGACTCTATCATCTATGTCTATCCCGATTTGTCAAAGTGTGGAATTTGGGCGGGAACATGTTTCAAAGTATGACACGTGTTATGTAACACTATTTCCCCATAACTTTGTCATCAGCAGGAAACCAGAGGATTCTGTCCTAGTAAGGATCCCTACTAATTTGAAATGATTGTGTGGTCATTCATACAGTTATATCTTTAGACTGCTAATAGTCTTGAGTCTTGGAGATAATCCACAGTACTTTATAGAATTAGGTCATCAATCATTATAAAGTACCATGTCTTACTAATGTTCTTTCTGGTACATTCAGATTGAACAGCTCATTCATTATTAGTACCAAACATTTCAACCTGTTGTAGACATATACCCTTTTATGAGTTTGGGGTGGTGGTTGTTGTTGTTGTTCTTCTTCTTCTTTTAAATATAGAAATCTATTATTTTTACCTTTTTCTCAAAGCAAGATTCCCATACTAACTATGTACTTCAATCCATATCAGAAGGAATCCCCCTCTAAAATGAAGATTGTTCTATATCCAGGTACTTTTATGTTGATTACCAGTGAGGGTGGAAACTTCATAGTGGTTTTTAGTTTTACAGATGTTTTGTCCACTGAGATCTGCATTGAAACAATTAATATAGGTCATACAACAAATACCTGCTGAAACTAGTCTTTATAAAGAAGAATCTTACTTAACAATTTTAAAGTGTGCTAATTTCATAACCTTGTGTTACTTTGAGATTACAAACTATGTCCCGATAACTCTGTGTCCTGGTAACGGTTCCTTTTCTTTGCAATAATTTTAATTTTTGTTGCAAGATAAATCAAGCTTCTTTTGGTAATCATTTTAATTTCATACATTTTGTTTGTTTGATTAATTTTCATTTACAAAGTCTGCAGTGGCAAAACTATTTTGTTTTATCCTATTAGCTATTTAATGGTTTCTTTGATAATATTAAAGAATAGTCATGCCTTTAAAAGCAGTTAAAGGGCATGTACATTTATGCATGCAATATCTGTAAAGGAAAACATTTTGTATAGAATGAAGGTGCTTATACTGATCAACATGAAGAAACTGATTCTGTTGGGCTGGGCGCAGTGGCTCACGCCTATAATCCTAGCAGTTTGGGAGGCCAGGGCAGGTGGGTCACCTGAGGTCAGATGTTGGAGACCAGCCTGGCCAACACGGTGAAACCCTGTCTCTACTAAAAATACAAAAATTAGCTGGGTGTAGTGGAGAGCGCTTGTAATCCCAGCTACTCGGGAGGCTGAGGCAGGAGAACTGCATGAACCTGGGAGGCAGAGGTTGCAGTGAGCCAAGATTGCACCATTGCACTCCAGCCTGGGCGACGAGAGCAAAATTCCATCTCAAAAAAAAAAAAAAAAAATCGATTCTGTTGTCCTTTGGAGGATAGATACTATTTTTTTGTTTGTTTGTTTTGAGACAGAGTCTCACTCTGCTGCCCAGGCTGGAGTGCCAGTGGCATCCAGTGCCAGTGCCAGTGCCATCTCAGCTCACTGCAACCTCCGCCTCCTGAGTTCAAGCAATTCTCCTGCCTCAACCTCCCAAGTTGGCTGGGATTACAGGCGCCTGCCACCGTGCCCAGCTAACTTTTGTATTTTTCTTTTTAGTAAAGACAGTGTTTTACCATGTTGGCCAGGCTGGTCTCGAACTCCTGACCTCAAGTATTCTGCCCACCTCGGCCTCCCAAAGTGCTGGGATTACAGGTGTGAGCCACCGCACTCAGCCAGACAGATACTATTTTTAAATGATCTTTCTAACAGTATTCTGTTAAATGGCTAAATTAATGTTGTTTCTCAAATCTTGAAATTTTTAAATTAGGCCAGGCGTGGTGACTCATGCCTGTAATCCTAGCACTTTGGGAGGCGGAGGCAGGTGGATCACCTGAGGTCAGGAGTTCCAGACCAGCCTGGCCAACATGGTGAAACCCTATCTTTACTAAAAATACAAAAATTAGCTGGGCATGGTGGCACACGCCTGTAGTCCCAGCTACTCGGGAAGCTGAGGCAGGAGAATCATTTGAACCCAGGAGGCGGAGGTTGCAGTGAGCCGAGATCGCACCACTGCACTCCAGCCTGGGCGACAGAGTGAGACTCCGTCTCAAAAAAAAAAAAAAAAAAAAAAAAAAAGAAAGAAATTTTTAAATTAAAATTTTACAGGATTGGGGTTTATATTCTTTTATATTTAAAAGCAAAATTTACTTTTGTCATCTGAGACTATGTTGCAGCTCTAAACCACCTTATGCTAAATTTATCACTTATTTAGCTGATCTCTTTTTTGTTTTAATGCTCTAATATACATGAAAGATTGTGAAAATGTTTTCTTTTTTTTAAGTTGGGGAACTATACCGAGGATATATGAGCAATTTAATCCAGACCATAAAAATATGACAGTGAGGACTTCTAATAATGAAGGAAAGTGAAGATATCAAAGATTATAATTCAAAAGCACACATTTACCTGATGAAACTGAAGGCTGTTGTATATCTCTGTAACGTACACCTAATAGTTTGAAGTAACAAAAATATCAAATTTTGGCTATTATGCTTGCACATAGTTGTCAGTCTAGTACAGATAAATTACATAATTAACTTTTTTGTCTATTAACAATTTCCTTAAATATTTCTGGGATTAATATATCATTTCATGTTACAACTGCAGAAATATGAATTACCATATCAGTCTTTAAAAATGCCAAATTCTATAGGGCCCAGTAGTATACTTTACATTTTGTAATTTTTAAAATTCAGTGTATTTACAGGTCTCTAAATGAATCACTTTAGAATGCTTGATTTCACTCTTGGTAAATAGAATGATTACCTGTATTTTATATATGCAACTGTTTACAACCAAAATAAGATTGATTTAGAACAAAGTACATTACCATAAGTATGTCTGTTTAAATTGTCATGATACAATCAATGATGAAACCTATCCCAAAGCTGATGACCTGAAGAAAAATACGTACAGATTCAGCTTCTGAGATTAAATAAATAGTCATGATAGGAACCCTATGAATAATTTCTGGGATTCGGGATCTCTTATGAGACTTAAAAGGGGGCTTACAAGAGGAGACTATTTTGTTTTGATATTGTGTTTAACATTATGCTTTATCTCACCTTGACACTTTAAAGTTGGTGTTGGTATTAGGAGATCTGCACATCCCACACCGGTGCAACAGTTTGCCAGCTAAATTCAAAAAACTCCTGGTGCCAGGAAAAATTCAGCACATTCTCTGCACAGGAAACCTTTGCACCAAAGAGAGTTATGACTATCTCAAGACTCTGGCTGGTGATGTTCATATTGTGAGAGGAGACTTCGATGAGGTGATGTATTTCCCTTTCCCTTCTCAAATATCTCCCTTTCTTGATTATTACTTACATAAGCTTTATCTTTAGACCAGGGTTTCTCAACTGGTAAGGTTTTTTTTTTTTTCCCTTTTTCTTTTCCAAATGTAAAATTACTATACATCATGCCCCTCCCTTACTATTTGAAAATCACTGATTTAGATCACCTAGTAAACATTAAATACTTATTCTAACTAAATAGATACTGAATAAAAGTGGCTTTGTTACTGTTTTATGCTGTCGTTTAATTTATAAAGTTTTTTTTGTTTGTTTTTGTTTTTTTTGAGATGGAGTCTTGCTCTGTCGCCCAGGCTGGAATGCAGTGGCACGATCTTGGCTCCCTGAAACCTCTGCCTCTCAGGTTCAACCGATTCTCCTGCCTAACCTCCCAAGTAGCTGAGACTACAGGCACACACCATCACATCCAGCTATTTTTTTTTTTAGTAGAGATGGCGTTTTGCCGTGTTGGCAAGGCTGGTCTCGAACTCGTGACCTCAGGTGATCCTCCCGCCTCAGCCTCCTAAAGTGCTGGGATTACAGGCATGAGCCACCACACTCAGCCAAGTTTATAAAGTTTTTATTATGAACTTTTCACCGCCGCTACCTCTACTAACTTTATTCCAAGCCACTGTATCATTTTCTTGTATTCCAACTTCCTAATTCTACCCTTGCTCCTTCCAGTTTATTCTCCAACTAGCAACCAGCGTGATCCTTTTTAAGTAAAGTAAGATCACATCACTTCTCTGCTGGCAACCCTCCTGTGGCTTCCTTTCTCAAAGGCTGACTTTATAGGGCATGAGGGAGTTTTGAAGGAGTGATAGAGCTGCTCTGTATCTTTAGTGTGGCAGTGCTTACACAGCCGTGTGCATTTGTCAAAACCCATCATATTATACATGAAAAAGTAAGATTTTACTTTGTGTAAATTACGCCTCAATAAACCTGACTTTAAAGAAAAAAAGTAAAGAGTTCTGGGCCGGGTACGGTGGCTCACGCCTGTAATCCCAGCACTTTGGGAGGCCTAGGTGGGTGGATCATGAGGTCAAGAGATCAAGACCATCCTGGCTGATACGGTGAAACCCCATCTCTACTAAAAATACAAAAAAATTAGCCAGGTGTGGTGCTGGGCGCCTGTCGTCCCAGCTACTTGGGAGGCTGAGGCAGGAGAATGGTGTGAACCTGGGAGGCGGAGCTAGCAGTGAGCTGAGATTGTGCCACTGCACTCCAGCCTGGGCGACAGAGTGAAACTCTATCTCAAAAAGAAAAAGTAAGGAGTTCTGGAGTTCCCATTAGTTAATAATGGGATTTTTGGCAGATCACTTCCCCTTTCTGATCCTTAGTAAATATGACTGGAATGGATGATTTTTAAAACCCCTGCCAGTGCCAACATTGTATGGTGTAGCATAATAAACCTGATTCTAGTTTGAAAATTTTATTTTAGGCCGGGTGCGGTGGCTCACGCCTGTAATCCCAGCACTTTGGGAGGCCGAGGCAGGTGGATCACGAGGTCAGGAGATCGAGACCATCCTGGCTAACACGGTGAACCCCTGTCTCCACTAAAAATACAAAAAAAATTAGCTGGGCATGGTGGTGGGCGCCTGTAGTCCCAGCTACTCGGGAAGCTGAGGCAGGAGAATGGCGTGAACCTGGGAGGCAGAGTTTGCAGTGAGCCGAGATCGCGCCACTGCACTCCATCCTGGGCGACAGAGTGAGACTCTGTCTCAAAAAAAAAAAAAAAAAAATTTATACATATAGTATTTCTGGGAATATAAGATTTTCATCAATTAATCTTGGTTTGTGTTATTTAATGGGGTTCCTTAAACCAAACTGAAGGGGCATACTGTCTTTTTATTGTATTTTAAAAAGAGTTTGGATAAATTTAAAGGTGGCATGGAGGTGAAAGACGGGGAGATGAAAGGACAAACAACCTCTTTGCCTGTTTCATCATCCATAAAGTGGGGATCATAATAGAACCTTCTAGGATTGTTTGTATTAATTAAGTTGATATTTGTAAAACCCCTACAGTAGTGCCTGGCTCATACTAAGTACTATGTAAGTGTTAGCTCTCATTATTTTAAGCTATCTATAAAAGTATTAAGGCTACATTAAGCTATAATTTGAACACACCCTAACTTACATGCCTTAGGTAAAGGAAAATCACAAGTTTGGGGGGAATAATTATTTACAGCATGCGCAAAAGAACCCATATTCTATAGGAATAAACACAATAAAGGGGTTGCATGATAAATTCCAGTTTATATTGAGTAAGTTATGTTTTAAAATATAGATGCAGCCTTGGAGACCAAGAAGAAATAAAATATTTATAAATGTGGGGTGGGCACAGTGGCTCAGGCCTGTAATCCTAGCGCTTTGGGAGGCCAAGGCAGGTGGATCATTTGAGGTTAGGAGTTTGAAACCAGCCTGGCCAACATGGTGAGACTCCGTCTCTACTAAAAATACAAAAAAATTAGGCGGGCGTGGTGGCGGGTGCCTGTAATCCCAGCTACTTGGGAGGCTGAGACAGGAGAATTGCTTGAACCTGGCAGGCGGAGGTTACAGTGAGCCAAGATGGTACCACTGCACTCCAGCCTGGGCAACATAGCAACACTCTGTCTCAAAAAAAAAAAAAAATGTATAAATGTGTGTGTTGTGGGGTACTACATCAAAACATCCATAGGAGATTGAATATTTAAGGAAACTGATTTTTTTAAACATCAGTATCTCTAAAATACATATTTTCTTACGTCTTTTTCTTATGTTAGAATCTGAATTATCCAGAACAGAAAGTTGTGACTGTTGGACAGTTCAAAATTGGTCTGATCCATGGACATCAAGTTATTCCATGGGGAGATATGGCCAGCTTAGCCCTGTTGCAGAGGCAATTTGATGTGGACATTCTTATCTCGGGACACACACACAAATTTGAAGCATTTGAGCATGAAAATAAATTCTACATTAATCCAGGTTCTGCCACTGGGGCATATAATGCCTTGGAAACGTGAGTAGTATAGAATTTGGGAATTTGGGGGCTTTAGTAAAATAATTGCATGTGTGACATTTCGTAAAAGAAATGTGGCTGGGCACAGTGGCTCATGCCTGTAATACCAGCACTTCGGGAGACCAGGGCAGGTTGCTTGAGCCCAGGAGTTTGAGACCAGCCTAGACAATATGGTGAGACCCTGTCTCTACAAAAAAATTTTAAAAATTAGCTGGGTGTGGTGGTGCATGCCTGTGATCCCAGCTACACAGGAGGCTGAGGTGGGATGATCACTTGAGCCTAGGAGGTTGAGACTGCAGTGAGCCACGTTTGAGGCTCTGTACTCCAGCCAGGGTGACAGAAGGAGACTCAATAAATAAATAAATAAATAAATAAATAAATAAATAAATAAATAAAATAAAAATAAATGTGACTTTTTTTTTTTTTGAGACAGAGTCTTGCTCTGTCACCTAGGCTGGAGTGTAGTGTTGCAATCTTGGCTCACTGCAACCTCTGTCTCCCGGGTTCAAGTGATTCTTGTGCCTCAGTCTCCCAAGTAGCCGGGATTATAGGTACCCGCCACCACGCCTGGCTAATTCTTGTATTTTTAGTAGAGATGGGGTTTCACCATGTTAGCCAGGCTGGTATTGAACTCCTGACCTCAGGTGATCCACCCACCTCAGCCTCCCAAAGTGCTGGGATTACAGGCGTAAGCCACTGTGCCCAGCCACATGTGACCATTTAAATAAATCTAGCCATTTTGGCAATCTTTTGGTAACTGTTCATGTGATATGTAACAGATTTCTCTGAATCCAAATAGTCATCTTAAATTGAAATTTATAGTGCTGCTGCTTTGTGCTACAAAACACTGACATTATTTATTTTTTCTTCTAGAAACATTATTCCATCATTTGTGTTGATGGATATCCAGGCTTCTACAGTGGTCACCTATGTGTATCAGCTAATTGGAGATGATGTGAAAGTAGAACGAATCGAATACAAAAAACCTTAAAGCCAGGCCTGTCTTGATGATTTTTGGTTTTTTTTCATTGTCCTGTTGAAATCAAGTAATTAAACATTTAAGAGCCACAAAATTGTATCACTTTTATAATATTTTGCAGTAAAATATAATACCATCTTCTCTGTTAATACATAATTGCTCCAAGCTTCCTGTAAACTATAAGAATATATTTAGTTTACAGTATATGGATTCTATGAAAAAATGTCCACAACACAGTAATTGGTCACTTGTTAAGAAAAATTTATCCTTGTAAGTATCTTCAAAGTTGATATTTGGAACTTTATTCCAAAAGTAGTGCATGTGGAGAAAGAATCTAGACTTTCTTGTATACATTTTTCTCTTCTCCAGTAATAAACAATTACCTTTCATTTATACTTTGATAACCTGTATTTAATTTAAAAAAAAACATAAAAATGAGGAACCAAGTGAAACTACGGATATAAATATTAAAGTGGACGAGATGACCTTTCAGAGCTCTTCTCTTACATTGTGTCATAATGTTGGACTCAGATTTTATTTGCTAAATAATATACCATGCCGACATTAACAGTGATTCTTCAAACTGTTGCTATTTCCATTTTTCAAGGTTTAATAAAAGTTTTAAAAATACAAGTTTAGGGGCCGGGCACAGTGGCTCACACCCTAATCCCAACACTTTGGGAGGCTGAGGCAGGTGGATCACCTGAGGTCAGGAGTTCAAGACCAGCCTGGCCAACATGGTGAAACCCTGTCTGTACTAAAAATACAAAATTAGCCAGCATGGTGCTACATGCCTGTATTCCCAGCTACTCGGGAGGCTGAGGCAGTAGAATCACTTGAATCCTGGAGTTGGAGGTTGCAGTGAGCCGAGATCACACCATTGCACTCCAGCCTGGTCAACAAGAGCATAACTCCGTCTCAAAAAAAAACAAAACAAAACAAAAAAAAAACAAATTTAGCAAGGAAGCATACTAGAGTAATATATAACGTAAAGAATCCTCTTGTTAGTGTAACTACTCCCAACCTAATCTAGTCCGAGAGTCCCAAGTTATTTATGTGGTAATTTCATAAGATAGGGAAAATGTGTATTTACATTTTAAAGTTGTATTCAAATAGCAAATATTTATTGATCACCTACTTTGCAAGTCAGAGCATCATCTCTGTCAAATGCTATTCTGTATCTGGATATTTCCAAGCTTCCCTTAGCCCAATCAAAAAAATACTTGTAGGATATTCTTTTTTTTTTGAGACGGAGTCTCGCTCTGTTGCCAGGCTGGAGTGCAGTGGTGTGATCTCGGTTCACTGCAACCTCCGCCTCCCAGGTTCAAGCAATTCTAATTCTCCTGCCTCAATCTCCCAAGTAGCTGGGACTATAGGCACACACCAACATGCCCAGCTAATTTTTGTATTTTCAGTAGAGACGGGGGTTTCACCATGTTGGTCAGGCTGGTCTCGAACTCGTGACCTCATGATCCACCCGCCTCGGCCTCCCAAAGTGCTGGGATTACAGGCATGAGCCACTGCGCCTGGCCCTTGTAGGATATTCTAATATTGCTGTTTTAGGACTTACTATGAACACAGAAAG